>NC_000010.11:17585757-17737272 GCF_000001405.40 Homo sapiens
CATATCTAAAGGAGAGACCTATGTCTATTTAAATATTTTGTAAATTTAGACTAAAACTATAAACAAATTGAATTTTAAGTTCTATTCAATGCCTTCATACTAGAAATTACAAAACTGCATTGCTTATTTTTTATTCTATCAATTATATGTGTAATCCAAATCTAAATGTATGTGAAAGGTAAATACCTCTATACGTCCCATATGCATATGAAAAATATTTTAAATGTTGCCTTTTACAGTTATTTTTTTTCCTTCAAGGATCTCTTAATGATTTATTGTATTGGTCTCATCAACTATAACTGATTTTGTTATGAAGTAGTTTTAGTCCAGAATTCTGTCGATTTAGTGGTGCCCTAATATGCTTATACACATATGAGTAACAAAGAACCCATCCCATCAGATTATCAACACACTGTATTTGTTAAAGCACAGATAATTATTTTGCAATATGATTTACTAACCAATCTAACCCAGTAATTTTGCTAAAGGTTTACTGTGTAGGGGAGAGAGAGGTAAGATAAGAGGAAGATGTTAATTCCCTACAACAGGGCCTGACACACAGTGGGCATGAGATACATATTTGTGAAGAGGAAAAGGGATTATTGCAAAGTTTAGATCATTTGCAATATATCACTAGAAACTATGACATTGCAGCATAATAATTAGATGCTTAAAAATATAAAGATGAGAAAATAATGCTTCTGAAAATCTATAGATGTCAAGCAACAAAAACTCTTGGTGAAAATGACTTTCTTACCTTTCTGGCATGCTTTTTTAAAAAGCTAAAACTATCAAGGATGTTGCTATATTCATGTCGAATTAACATTTTGAAAAATATTTTTTAAAACTTGCATATTGTATAATATAGCAAGCTATAAAGCTATGAAAATCAAAAAACAATCAGAATATGAAGGAATTGTCACCAAATATAATTGAAAGTTGCTAGCATCAAAATTTCTTGATCTGTGTTTCAAATGCCCAAGTCTGCAGGACTGTATTCCAAAGTTCTGTCTGATACAAACCCTGACTTGGCTATTGAAAGTTATGGTCATTTATGGGGAAGGTCAAAAGAAGATGCAGTCACAGAAAACGGTGGAAACCAAAAATAAAAGCCCCGTCCCCCTGCAACACCCAATCATCTGAATGGACTTCCTCCTCAGCTAGGGCTCTTTTAAAATGTAACCTGAGAGACTGGTTCAGGCCATGACAGGAAGTGGGAGTCAGACATGCCTGATTATACATCTCCAGCATTAAAATCAGCACAGACTTTAAGTCTAAAACATTTTACAACTATTCTCTCTGAAGCCTGCTGCCTGGTGGCTTCGTGTGCAGGATAGAAATTTGGTCTCCACAACTTCTTTTTTTTTTTTTTTTTTTTCTGAGATGGGCTCTCACTCTCGCCCAGGCTGGAGTGCAGTGGCACGTTCTCAGCTCACTGCAACTTCCGTCTCCTGGGTTCAAGCAATTCTCCCACCTCAGCCTCCTGAACAGTTGGGATGACAGGGGTGTGCCAGCACACCCGGATAATTTTTGCATTTTTAGTAGAGATGGGGTTTCACTAAGGGAGGAGACCACCCCTCATATTGTCTTATGCCCAATTTCTGCCTCCAAAGAAAGAAGTAAAACTAAAAGGCAGAAATGAAATCCACAGGCAGACAGCCTGGCAACATACCCTGGGCCTGGTTAAAGATCGACCCCTTACCTAACCGGTTATGTTATCTAGAGATTCCAGACATTGTATAGAAAAGCATTGTGAAAATCCCTGTCCTGTTCTGTTCCATTCTGACTACTGGGGCATGCAGCCCCCAGTCACATACCCCCTGCTTGCTCAATCCATCACAACCCTCTCAGGCAGACCCGCTTAAGAGTTGTAAGCCCTTAAAAGGGACAGGAATTGCTCATTCGGGGAGCTCGGTTTTTGGAGACGTGAGTCTTGCTGAAGCTCCTGGCTGAATAAAGCCCTTCCTTCTTTAACTCGGTGTCTGAGGGGTTTTGTCTGCAGCTTGTCCTGCTACGTCACCATGTTGGCCAGGCTGGTCTCGAACTCCTGAGTCTCCACAACCTCTTATCGCAACCCAGACATTCCTTTCTGTTGAGCCCAGGTTTTTGGATAAACTCAACCAATTGTCAACCAGAACATTTTAAAATCTACCTATAAGCTGGAACCCCCACCCCCAAAATTGTCCTGCCTTTCTGGACCAAACCAATGTATTTCTTAAATGTATCTGACTGATGTCTCATGCCTCCCTAAAAATGTATAAAACCAACCTGAACCCCGACCACCTTAGACACATGTTCTCAGGACCTCCTAAGGGCTGTGTCATGGGCCATGGTCACTTATATTTGGCTCAGAATAAATCTCTTCAAATATTTTACAGAGTTTGACTCTTTTCTGTCAACACAAGTGTAAAGGAATTTCAAATATTTTTTCCTTTTAAAATCAACTACTGTTTAGCACTTCATTTTCCAAACAAATAACGTTTAGAATTGGTCGAATATAGAAGATAAACGAAATTTAAAGTTTAGGTGTACTTTGCATATGTTAAAGGGTCACCAAATAGTTTAATGCATTTTTTATTAAAGTGAATCACAATTCCTACTTCAAGATATTCCACAACATAAGAAGAAAAAGTATTACAGCCACTTGAAGGCAGTACTAGTTGAATTAATGCACATTTTAGAAATATGATTTAAAATATTTTTTGCAAGATAGGCATCTAATAAAATAAATATGTGAAATTCTCATACTATGTAACCAAAGGTAAAGACTCCCTGACAATTTCTTCCATATAAAAATCCAAGATGAAACTGATCACATAGAGTAAGAGCAGAATGAATGTTAGATCTTTTGAGAACTAGTAACTTAATCCATATTGCTCAACGAAACAGTCAGCTGCAGAGGAAACATTACAACGTAATGTAATAAAAGAAATAGCACCTTTGAAAAACCAAGTTATTTAAAGTAAAGGTTTGCAAAAATGTTCTGAACTACAAATCTCTGTGTGAAAATAATCTGTAAAGGAGGTGGTAACACAAAATCAAGTAATTTTTAGAAGTGTAATGTTATGTGTTGATTATAAATGGAAACAATACAGAACATTTAAAGCCAAAATTACACCTAGATATCTATAGTGGGGAAAAAAAGTTCCTTTTCTTTGAAAGTCACATATTTAATATTCTCTCAAAAACTGGGTTAGTAAATCAACATACTTGAATAAAGGAGGGAAATTTTTTAAAGGACCTATTTACAAATTAAGGCAGTTATGAAAGTAGGTCTGGTGTATTTTTTTTATTAAACACAAGGACAGGAACTTTATTACAAGACCTTTTGCTATTCAATGGAATTCAGAATGAAAGGAGTCTGTCCAAAGATCATACCCCAAAATGTTTAGTTACCTAAGTACCACAAAGGGATTATCATAACAATTGTTACAAGATAATTCTACAGTATAGAGAAGACTTTCTCAACCAAAGTTCTGAGTACAGCATGATCATCTTCCTCATCATCGTTATCATCATCATCATCATCATCACTATTTTTCAGAGACAGGGTCTTGCTCTGTCACCCAGGCTTAAGTACAGTGGTACCATCATAGCTCATTGTAACCTTGAATTCCTGGGCTCAAGTGATCCTCCCACCTCAGCCTCCCAAGCAGCTGGAACTACAGGCATGTGTCACCATGCCTGGTTAATTTTTTTTGTTTGTAATTTTTTTAGGGATGGGGTCTTGCTATGTTGCCCAGACTGGCCTTGAACTTCTGGGCTCAAACGATCCTCCTGCCTCAGTCTTCCAAAGTGCTGGGATTACAGGCATGAGCTACCACTCCCAGCCTGAATACAACATTATAGTCAGATGTCATGTTTTTTTTTTAATAGTGGGGCAAATACTTATGCTCTTCCTAACCCCTTAAAACCTTCACAGTTGAAAACCTTGTCCTTAAGTGGCTAATTTAAATAAAAAGCAGATTTCCTTAGCAGTATAAGTAATTTCAGCTGCCTAGAAATATTTCCAAAGAATATTTTCCAACTGTGACATCTACTTGAATATTTGTGTGTTTTTATGCTGCTACTTTATCTACATCAAAAGTCTTACTTTAGCAAATTATATCCACGCTTCCAAACACTGTTATTAGTCATAATGCTGCCTTATTCCTGAAAAAATAGATTGTGGGTTCAAAAATACCAATACATTATTAACAAGTTGTTATAATTTTGCATTTATTTTCATTTATAAATATCACATAAATATCACTAGCAGGTATAATAGTAAATCGTTAAACTAATTTCTAAATATTGATTTAAAAAGCTTTGAGCATGTTTCAAAAAAAACTTAGCAAAAGTTTTTTTTTCCCCCAGATAATACACCTAATTATTTTCCTAATAATCAATACCTACCCAAAAGTTACTGATATTTGCACAGTTCTTGTAAAAAATAGATCTGGCACAAGAGGAACACAAATACTGGCAAATACCACGTGTCTCAAGTTATATTTTAAGAAACCATACAATCCATGATATTTCACAAAGTTGTTTATTCTTGTTATTAAAACTTGGACTCAGGTAATCTTGGTTATTCTGGAAAAAGCACCTTGTTTGCAGAGATCATTTAATCATCCTTTTCTACAATCACCTCTCCATGAAGCACCTTTCTTCTTTGACGTAACATATGAAAATAGAGTTGTGGAAACACTTCATTGAAAAAGAAAACAAAGAAAAACAAGCTATTGCTTTAAAATTATTTATACTTGAAACCTGTTAAATGTGGCAATGTTAGAGAGTAAATACATCCCATACCACTGCTGTTCCCTGGATATTTACAGAGCTCAAGACTATAAGAGTGCAAATGGAAGCCCACATACCACATGCCTAAATATTCTAATGCTGTAACTGTTGAGGTTTTGTTTTTACTTTTGCTTATTTATTTTTTTTCCTGAGACAGAGTCTCACTCTATTGCCCCAGCTAGAGTGCAGTAGCATGATCTCAGCTCACTGCAACCTCTGCCTCCCAGGTTCAAGCAGTTCTCCTGCCTCAGTCTCCCGAGTAGCTGAGATTACAGGCATGCATCACCACCACACCTGACTAATTTTTCTGTTTTTAGTAGAGATGGGATTTCACCAGGTTGGTCAGCCTGGTCTTGAACTCCTGGCCTCAAGTGATCCGCCTGCCTCGGCCTCCCAAAGTGCTGGGATTACAGGCATGAACCACTGCGCCCGGCCTATTTTTGCTTGTTTTTAACAAACTTAAATACCTTGATAAAAATACCTTCATAATGACCTGGAAGACCATGTTTGAGTTTAGAATTCTGAACTCTTTGGAATGCTGCGCCAGAACATTCCAGCACAGGGAAAACTGGCCCCACCCAGCCTCCTCTTCTCCATTCTACTGGCTGTATCCTGTACTGCAAGGGGTCTCCTGCACATGTGTGAGGATACCCGGGTGCATACATCTAAGCTTCATCCATACCCCTCACAAACAGCTGCCCCCTGGCTATCCTGTTTTCTCAGGGGTGCGTATACTGATACATGGTTAACCCTCAGGACCATGGATCAACGAAGAAGCCTGGTTAGGGCCCAGATGCATGCTCATTGCCCTCTGGGTAGCAAATTCCATGGTCTCAGGTTTCTAGAATGTGATCTAGAAGGCAGTGGGGTGCTGTGTGGAGTGACCACAGAAGAGCTACAGCAAGGTCCTCTTAACAGAGCCTAAAGCAGAAGCTCCTCCTGGCTGGGTGTAAGGGTATTTAATCCATTATATAATAACACATAAATACATACGTTATTAGGTCAGTTGGACAAATTGTCATCTGTCCAGTCAAATTTGAAGAATATTTTGAACCAATTTGAACCAGTGTTTCAAACCAGTGTTTCATAGTATAAATGTTGGTGGATAAACAAATTAATATCAGCTATAAACAATGCCAGTGTAAAAATATTTCTGAATATGATGATCAGAATAATCAAACCAATGAACCTTATCACAAAACAAGCTTTGAATATCCTGCTTAGGCAACTTTGGATAAAAAGTCTTTCTATTTAGGTTCTTCCTAACTTAAGAAAGGTTACCATCACATTATATATACCTAGGGGGCTAAATTTACTCAGGTCATAATTACTTAAACTCACTGACCAATTATTGTAAATACTTCCATAAAATTCCGAGTAGCTGAACAGAAGGTATGGGCTTGAGTTCAAACCCTGCCTTAACTCACCAGCTACTGATTTTTTTTTTTTTTTTTTTTTTTGAGATGGAGTCTCACTCTGTCACTCAGGCTGGAGTGCAGTGGTGTAATCTTGGCTCACTGCAACCTCTGCCTCCCCGGTTTCAGTGATTTTCCTGCATCAGCCTCCTGAGTAGCTGGGACTACAGGTGCCCACTACCATGTCTGGCTAATTTTTGTATTTTTAGTAGAGACGGGGTTTCACCATGGTGGTCAGGCTGGTCTTGAACTCCTGACCTCAAGCAATCCTCCCACCTTGGCCTCCCAAAGTGCTGCGATTACAGGTGTGAGCCACCACACCAGGCCACAAGCTAGTGATTTTTAAGCAACTCACTTAACCTCTTTCATCTTAATGTAAATGAGAAATAATACTACTACTTTTGAATACTAAGTACTCAAAAAGTACTTTTAATTAGCAAAGGATTTAATAAGTAAAATTAATTGATTTATTACTAACATTAAGAATGCAGGGGGAGGAGGGAATTAAAAAAAAATGCAGTGGAAAACATGTTCTGGGCTGAGTGATTCTCTGGCCAGTGGGACTCAGTAGCTGGCAGCATGGTGAACTGGGAAGCTGCTACTGGTACAGGCCAGAGTCTACATCTCCCAGGACAACTGAAAAAGGTGCTTCAGGCTCTCCATTTCCATGGAGATGCCTCAAAAGCCATGAGGAGGAAGAGAACCCACTGTTTGAACCTGTAACTGTCAGACAGACACCGAAGCAAGCTCTGGTTCTGTTCAAGTAATGCTACCATTAACCTGCCATTGGGAAAAGAGAGGGATGTGAACCAATAGAGTAGGCATCCCCTCCTTAGCTCTCCCGAACTGGCTGGGGTAGAAAATCAGATACAGAATCAGGCTGAAGTGGTAGAAGACAAGGGGAAAACATATCTTTCACCACTAAGTCAATTTTGACTTTGGGAAAGATACAAGTTGGAGACATCTGCCGGGGGCAGGGGCTCATGCCTGTAATCCCAGCACTTTGGGAGACCAAGGTGGGTGGATCCCTTGAGGTCAGGAGTTTGAGACCAGCCTGGCCAATATGGTGAAACCTCGTCTCTACTAAAAATACAAAAATTAGGTGGGCACTGTGGCAGGCGCTTGTAATCCCATGAACCTGAGAGGCAGCGATTGGAGTGAGCTGAGATGGCGCCACTGCACTCCAGCCTGGGCAAAAGCGCAAGACTCTGTCTCAAAAAAAACAACAAAAAAAAGTTGGAGACCTCAAGGGGCTGGCCAAGTTTTATGCGCATCTCCTTTAGATGAAATAATTTGTATCATGTCGATGTAGATTTTAGAGCTATCAATATTTGACTTAAAAATATATCACTATTAGCCCCCACGCCTTTTTTTTTTTGAGACAGAGTCTCACTCTTATTGCCCAGGCTGGAATGCAATGGCATCATGTCAGTTCACTGCAACTTCTGCCTCTCAGGTTCAAACGATTCTCCTGCCTCAGCCTCCTGAGTAGCTGAGATTACAGGCATGCGCCACCATGCCCAGTTAATTTCTGTATTTTAGTAGAGACAGGGTTTTGCCATGTTGGCCAGCCTGGTCTCGAACTCCTGACCTCAGGTGATCCACCTGCCTCGGCCTCCCAAAGTGCTGGGATTATAGGCATGAGCCACGGAGCCCTGCCTCACTATTAGCAGCACTGAAATGGAGTAAAGCCTTACCAATTCACTTCAACTGCTGAAAGATGATGAGAAATTAGTGAAGAGGCTGACTTATTCAAAATCCTTTAAGAAAAGAGGCTTTATTATTTGCAAGTACATAGAGCAACACAAATAAGACTCAAAACTACTCCTAGATGATTTTTCCAAGTATATGCTTAATGAATAGATAGAAATGATCTGAAATTTTCTTGGACACAGTGTTTATACTCAGACATATAATTCTAAATGCTTGTAAAAAGTGCACTAATGCTTTAAACATGATTTGTTTTTATCTTTCTTTAAAAAAATCATACTAAGCTGATGTTTAAATGATTTTGAGAAAGCAATAATCCATGCGTTAATTTACCTGCCTTTATTCTCATAGCTAATGAACTGTCTTCTGCCTCTATCTCCCTTCACTTTTCCCAAATTATCAGTAAATATGGAGTTAAACCGAAGTTTTAATGTATTTGTAAGCAATTATTTCTAATTATTTCCCCTTGCATATTATTATATCCTTTCAAAAATTTCCACATCATATGTCAAATCAAAGTACTAATAAGTATATACTTACAAGGTATATATGATGCCATGGTTATAAGAAGAAAATAATAGTAGTCAAAAGAGACATTGTATTTGTTAGGAAGTCTTATTGAAAACATTCCTGTTTTCTTCACATGCGGCAAGGCAGCGTATATTGTAAGAAGTTCACCAGCAACTCCAACAGGATATAAGATGATAAAAAAATTATATCTGGAGAAAGAAAAACCTCAGAGAATTATTTTTCTACAATAATTATTAGACTTTACATTGCAGGTCTATTGCTACTACTAAATTTAAACTTCAAAATTCTCTTTTCTTTACATATTTACAATAACCTTACGTAAGGTTAATAGTTCTACTTTAATCATTTGCTTATTGATTATCATCCTTTTTTTCCTAATACCAGTTTCCATAATAGGCAATGTCTTTTTAATAAAATAGTATCAACTTATTTTAGAGTACCAAAATACTTTTATGTATTAAAAAATGTATATGTAGTTTTTCTTGTTTTTGTTTTGAGATGGAGTTCGCTCTTGTCACCAGGCTGGAGTGCAGCGGCACAGTCTTGGCTCACTGCAACCTCCACCTCCTGGGTTCAAGTAATTCTCCTGCCTCAGCCTCCCAAGTAGCTGGGATTACAGGTGTGTGCCACCATACCCAGCTAATTTTTGGTGTTTTTTTTTTTTGTTTTTTGTTTTTTTTTGAGATGGAGTCTTACTCTGTCGCCTAGACTGGAGTGCAGTGGCACAATCTTGGGTCACTGCAACCTCCACCTCCCGGGTTCAAGCAATTCTCCTGCCTCAGCCTCCTGGGTAGCTGGGACTACAGGCGCCCGCCACCACGCCCGGTTAATTTTTGTATTTTTAGTAGAGACAGGGTTTCACCATGTTGGTCAGGCTGGTCTTGAACTCCTGCCTTCAGGTGATCCACCCGCCTCAGCCTCCCAAAGTGCTGGGATTACAGACATGAGCCACCATGCCCGGCCTATGTAGCTTTAAAAAAAGTATTGTAATGGTAACTTCTTTGGTGCATAAAATCACAAATGACTGCTTTTGTCCGCGGCAGCTAGTAATTTATTGATCAAACACTGCGTTTAAAAAGACCAGTGATTATCCTAAATTTTATATCTAAACCTTGAAATTACCAAGGTAGTTATTTTTAAGAGGCATTTGAAAAAGTCTTTGTGGTTACTAATGAAAACCAATTATTGCAGAAAACTGATAATACCACCTGAAGCATGAGTAGCTACTAATGAGTATATTATATTGTCTAAAACTGCTACCGTAACAAAATAAATTGACAAGTTAGTTCCTGAATTCCCACATTAAAAGAAGAGTGAGCTTGTTTAAAGTAGAGTTAAGAAAGTTCTACTCTAAATCCAAAGTCATCATGTGTTCATTTGGTCTGTGGCAAGGTCTGGAACACACAGTAGGCCAGGCATCCTGTATGCTTCCAATTAGGAAACACTCTGTGTTCTACTGGCTGGTCTCCAATAAGAGGGGCCTAAAGGATCCAAGATGATCATATTTCTTCATTAAAAAAAAAAATCATTTTTCTCTGACTCAGTCACTATATAACAGTTACCACAGAAAACTTAAGAGGCCAGAGTGCAAGACCACTCTGGGCGATATAGTAAGACCCCGTCTCACAAAAAAAAATTTAATGAGCAGACCACAGTGGTGCATGCCTGTCGCCCCAGCTACTTGGGAGGCTAAGGCAGGAGGATTGCTTGAGCCTAGGAGGTCAAGGGGGCAGTGAGCCAAGACCGCACCACTGTACTCCAGCCTGGGTGACACAGCGAGACCCTGTCTCAAAAAAAATAAATTTAATTTAAAAAAAGAAAAATGTTTTTAATTTAAAACAAAAGGTCAACATTTTGATGGAAAAAGAAATCAAATTAATCTGTATTTTATTTAATCATTTTGTTGGCATTAGGAAATATCTATAAAGAAAAGTCAAAGTTGTCAGTATTGAAGAAGCTTGGAGACAAATTAAAAATTGCATTATTCCTGTATGTCAAGGATATGCGAAGATAAGAGATGGGGAGAAGGGCAGAATTATTTGCCAAAATAGATGAGCTATTCAAGAAAGAAGAATGATTCCTTCACTGTACCTGTTAATCCCTTCTTGGCCTTGGAGAAACTCCCTGCTTTCTTACCAGTTTTGGGTAGTTATTTGTGTATCATTTAAATCAATCTTTCCCTATTCCTCAATTTATTAAATCCCATAACTGGACATTTTATATACCTGTCTCAGTAAAATACCCAAACTGATTAAGTTGCAATTTTTACTTTATGTGGTTTTCAAAAGATTTTTTTTTTTTTTGGCAGGATTGTTCTTCAATAGAAGAAAAAATTAACACTCCTACAATAAGCTAGTTGAAAGTCTTAAGGGCAATGAAAATTTCTAATGAAATGGGAACAAATTATATAATTTGACTTTACTTGCACTTCAAAAAGATTGCATGTTACTACTTCTCTAAGTTCTGAGGGCAGTATGGGAGATTTAACTATGGATAGACCACATTAAAAAAAAAGATACAATGCTTCTTTGAAGGTTCCCAATTACTATCTAAAATTTTTTTGAAGGGAGTGCATTTTAAATCAATATGAAAAACCTAACTTAATATATACAATTACCTATTCTGAGGACTTTTCCAAGAACACTTATGACACATAAATAGAATCAAAGTATATTCAAACTGTAACAATAGGCCAAACTACTTATAACTAAGAAGCCATTTCTAAAGTGTAGTTTTATTCGAGAATGACAGCTTCAACATCTGAACATAAATACAAATATTATTTTACCTTACTTAATGGAGTTGGGAAACATATTTAGATGGCTGGGATTTTTAAGATCTTTTTGACATGAAACATAATTATTTATGATTATGATCAACTGACAAAGTATTATGTAACATATGATTTCAAAGCTGAAAGACTGTATAACTTGTTTAACATTAAGGCAATGGATAAACACTTTCTTCTTTTGAGACAGAGTCACGCTGTGTCACCAAGCTGGAGTGCAGTGGTGTGATCTCAGATCACTGCAACCTCCACCTCCTAGTTCAAGCAATTCTCCTGCCTCGGCCTCCCAAGTAGCTGGGATTACAGGCACATGTGGCTAATTTTTTAATTTTTTAGTAGAGATGGGGTTTCACCATGTTGGCCAGGCTGATCTGGAACTCCTGACCTCAAGTGATCCGCCCACCTTGGCCTCCCAAAGTGTTGGGATTACAGGCATGAGCCACCACGCCCAGCCTGCAATGGATAAACACTTTCTAAACAGCAAATTTAAACATACGATGGCAGAGTTTTTATCTTTTCCAGACACTCAAGACATGCAAATGCATTCCAAAAGACAGACACACAAAGCCATCAAGTCTAATGTGCCAACCTCAGGAAAATATGCAATGTACATTCTGCTATCCTCTTCAGACAAATTTTGTAAATTCAGCACATGAAAAGAGACTATATGGTAAGTTAGTATTTTCAAAGGTGCCAGAGGTCCAGAACATTGTCATGCGAAATGATATTGATGTGTTCTAGGATTAGAGTCCAGCTACATTCAAAACTGCCAACCTTTAAAAAGCTCAGTCACTAAAGGTAAACACATTTTCATGTACAGTAAGATTAAAACCAACCAAATCCATATAAATGGTAGTACAACCTTCTTATGACAGACAAGACACTTAAGCTCAAATTATAATTTCAAAGTATCTCATCATATACAAAGTGGTAAGCCGCAAGTGTCTAAAAAAGAGCTAGAGAATATTAAAAAGTCACAAAGAGTATATAACATGGCCAGGCGCAGTGGCTCACACCTGTAATCCTAGCACTTAGGGAGGCCGAGGTGGGTGGATCACTTGAGCTCAGGTGTTCGAGACCAGCCTGGGCAACATGGTAAAACCCCATCTCTACAAAAAATACAAAAATTAGCCAGGTGTGGTGGCCTGCACCTGTACTCCCAGCTACTTGGGAGGCTGAGGCAGGAGAATCGCTTGAGCCCAGGTGGTGGATATTGAAGTGAGCCGAGATCGTGCCACTATCCTCCAGCCTGGGTGACAGAATGAGACCCTGTCTCAAAAAAAAAAAAAAAAAAAAGAGAAAAAAACCCATAAAACACAATTAACAGTGGTTATCCTTGGTTAGAGAGATTATAAGTAATTTAAAAGTGGTTTTCCTTCTTTTTGGTTTATATATTCTCATTTATTATATTTGAACATGTATAATACTTGGGATTAAAAAATAGTAATTGACCAGGCATGGTGGCTCACACCTATAATCCCAGCATTTATCACCACCTGACATATCACATATTATTAGTTTATGTTTTGTCTTCATCATAAGACAGAGAATTTGTTTTGTTCATACCTACATCTCAGGCATGCAGTAGGCACACACCATTTGTCATTGTTATTGCTACCATAAAGTACAATACAAAGAATAAAATGAACAAGTCTATACTGATTTGTGACTTGTTCTCCAAAGAGCAGTTTTGCTTTTATAATAACTTTCTAAAACGTCAATTGCTCAAAGAATTCAAACTTCAAGAAGAACAGATATCTTTTCCTTTAAAAACTGTTGCTTTAGGATATATTTGGAGCCCTTCAAATATAAATTTTATCCACATTCCAAATAATACAATTTTAAGTAAGTGTGACTTTTAAAAATGTCTCTGCAACTTAAAGCAAAGAAAAAAACCAATCGCATTGTGTAAATGGTATAAATTGTGGCTGCTAGATTGACTATTAAAATAATTTACATCACAGACAAAAAAAAAACATATTTTTGGTACTGCTTATGTAAGCTAATTCCAAAAATGTATATTGTGCTTTCCAAAAAAAAATGAATGACTAATTCTGAGGTTAAGGATACCACAATTTGTCTCACATTGATTTCACTCAAAATATTTATTAATACGATTCCTCTCTCATCATTAAGCTTTTAGAATACAAATCATAACTTGTATAATTATTAGTTATACCAGTTATACCTCCTATAACAGCATTCTGGCATCGTGGGGCTGAAACACGAATTTTAATTCTCTGGCGTTAGCACACAAAATAAGCATGCACAGGACAAGGAGAAACTAAACTGCAAGATATCGCCACCTGGCCCATTTAATGAAGTATGGCAAGTGGTCAAGAAGGCTGAATGTGTAGAAGGAATAGCGAGTGATCTCTGTCACAGTCCACGCGACCAGAAAAAGCACCACACTCTCTTCATTCTGGATCTGCAGAATTACAGAGAAACCCAGTGTCATTCAACCTAGAACTTACTTTTCAGTGAAGGTACTTACTTTACTTATTTATTGCCTTTTATTTATAATGGAATGTTAGGGTTAGGCAAATGCAATATAGAAAACTTAATGCAGTCACCATTAACATAATTAATTATAAACGTGGAACTTAAACGTATCTTATGCACAGGAATAGTTGAGCATAGACTCGTTTTTCTTCCCTCGTCCTTCACTTCAGGAAATAACGCTATCATCAGAGGACAATGTTACCTTGCTGAAACCAAAATCTGACCCTCCTACTTCTAGTAATCATTGAATCACACCTGTTCTACTGTAGGACCAACGCTTGAATTGCTCACTCATCTTTGGCCCTTTTACTACTATTTTAATTCAGGGGTTTATCATCTCTCATCTTGACTACTGTAACTGTTTCCTAAATAGTCTTTCCTCCCTTTATTGTCCTCATGAATGCAAGTTGTCTTTTAAAAAGAAGTCAAAGAAGCAAATACATAAAAAACAAATTGGAATCAGCTAAGTCCTGTGATTTAAAAGTTTCACTGGTCCCACACTTCTTAACAGAATAAAAGGATGAGCCCTAATACCTGGGCACCATATTCAAGGTTCTTTGCAATCCTTGCTCGGAAATCTCTCCAACTTCATCTACAATTATTCAACCCTTCTACCTACTTCTCTCTCTGGTGACACTAGATGTTGTTATTTCCAGAATATGCTCTGAACTTGTGCAATTTAACACATGCTATTCACTCTCACTGGAATGTTACTCTCTTATTCCATAAAAAATCTTTTCCTATCTTTCAAGATTCAGCTAAAACATCTCGCCCTCTAGAAAACTGACTCCAACCCTCTCCTCTCACCCTGAGCAGTTATTTGCTCACCACCTTTATTTATTTATTTATTTAGCTTATTTATTTATTTATGTGAGACGGAGTCTTGCTGTGTCACCCGGGCTGGAGTGCAGTGGCATGATCTCGGCTCACTGCAACCTCCACGTCCTAGGTTCAAATGAGTCTCATGCCTCAGCCTCCGGAGTAGCTGGGATTACATGCCCTGCTAATTTTTGTATTTTTAGTAGAGACGGGGTTTCACCGTGTTGGCCAGGCTGGTCTCGAATTCCTGATCTCATGTAATCTGCTTGCCTCAGCCTCCCAAAGTGCTAGGATTACAGGCATGAGCCACCATGCCCAGCCCAGCACCCTTCTTCTACTGTACTTTGTTCATATCTGTGTTGTGGCATTTGCCAATCTGTACTAAGAGTTGTCTGGCTAACTCTTGTACATGTCAGCATTCAACATCTGTATCCCTCCTTAAGGGAAGCCTTCTTGCACTCCCTACGTCAGACTAAGTCCTTAGGTATACTGCAACGCATACCGAGCTCTTGCTTCAAAGCACTTAACACGTATATGATTAAATATTTGTTTAGCTTCTCTCCCAAGTATAGGCTCCACCAGGCGAGAACCATGTTTGTTTTATCAACAGCCATATCCCAGCACACTGCCGGGCACAGATGAGGTGCATGATTAGCATTGTGCGTGATTTAACGTTAAGTGTACCCCACTTCCCAACAGCCAGTACACTGGACAGCTGGGATTGCCTTGTTCTTTTTTTTTTTTTTTGAGACAGAATCTCGCTCTGTCACCCAGGCTGGAGTGCAGTGATGCGATCTCAGCTCACTGCAACCTCTGCCTCTTGGGTTCAAGTGATTCTTCTGCCTCAGCCTCCCGAGTAGCTGGGACTACAGGTGCGCACCACCACACCTGGCTAATTTTTGAATTTTTAGTAGAGACAGGGTTTCACCATGTTGGCCAGGCTGGTCTCGAACTCCTGACCTCAAGTGATCCACCTGCCTCAGCCTCCCAAAGTGCTGGGATTATAGGCGTGAGCCACCCCACCCGCCCACCTTATTCATTTCTGTAAATCCAGAAATTTGCACAGCACCAGGTGTAGAGAACGCATTCAATAATATTGGTTGAATTAATTAACGAGTGCTGAATAGGTACCAGTGGGAAACTATCGTCAGCAAAAAATAAATAGGAATATTAAGGCAGAGATCCTCTGGAGGATAAACGGGGCAGACGGGTCCTGTTTTATTTTTGGAACTCGCGACTCTCAAGCTTCCCTTTACCTCCATCTCTCTAGTTAATGTCTAGTTAATGTTGTCTTTCTTCTTCATTCTTCAGACTCATGGTGGTCCTAACTCAGCTATTATATTCCCTCACTGCCTGGAAGAGTCTGTCTTCTAGTCTGTTAATGCTGTCCTCCTGCTTTTAAACTAGTAGGCAAAGTTAATTAATAGTTTGCCTCTCCCATTGCATGTGCTCACTGCTATCTGCACTATCTGCATGGCAGTCGCTGTTTAGGGTGCAGGTAAATCATGCAAGTTGAGTGAAAGATACTAGTCAAGAGGGATAAAGTATAAAGAGCAGGAGGTCAGTGAGCTGTCCCCATGCAGACAGGGGGCCAGTGAAGCTAAGAGGAACAGAGAAGAGGTCAGGTGTCAGTCCCCAAGCATCTAAGAAAGGCATGTGAGAAATGGAAAGGAGGCCAGAGATCTGTCCTCGAGTAGACAGGAGGCTCTAAAGGCTGTCAAGAAGGTCAGAAGGGTTGACATAGGAAATGTTCCTGTCATGGGTTTAATTTTTTTTTTTTTTTGAGATGGAGCCTCACTCTGTCACCCAAACTGGAGTGCAGTGGTGCGATCTCAGCTCACTGCACCCTCCACCTCCCAGGTTCAAGCAATTCTCCTGCCTCAGCCTCCCGTGTAGCTGGGATGGCAGGCGCCCGCCACCACATCTGGCTGATTTTTGTATTTTTGGTAGAGATGAGGTTTCACCACGTTAGCCAGG
This sequence comes from Homo sapiens, assembly GCF_000001405.40. Lineage (NCBI taxonomy): Eukaryota > Metazoa > Chordata > Mammalia > Primates > Hominidae > Homo > Homo sapiens. Next base: position 17,602,282 of record NC_000010.11, read on the forward strand.
CTGGTCGCGAACTCCTGACCCTCAGGTGGTTCACCCACCTTGGCCTCCCAAAGTGCTGGGATTACAGGCTTGTGCCACCTCGCCCGGCCCTGTCATGGGTTTAAAATGCCCAATATCTTGACATAGCAGCATGGTGTCTATCTCGCCTGAAAGGTTTGAATCATTAATTAGATTCAATAATTAGGTCTGTCTCCTGTCATGCCTCAATAAAAATTGTTTATTTTTCCTAAAGCTCCTTAGCAATTTTTTGACAATTATTTTTAATTGAAAATTTAAATTGCATATATTTATGGTGTACAACATGATGTTCTGAAATATGTACGCATTGTGAAATGGCTAAATCAAGCTAACGAACCTATGTATTACCTTATGTACTTATTTATTTGTGGTAAGATCACTATTCTCTTAGCAATTTTCAAATATACAATACATTGCTATTAACTATAGTCACTACGTTGCATAATAGATCTCTTGAACTTAATTCCTCCTAACTAAAATTTTTATCCTTTGACCCCTTCTAACTTTCAGTCTTTTCCGTTTGTTCAGATCTACAGAACTGCATTTACTTTTTATGTCTGTTGCTGTAATACTCAATGCTAAATAAGATATAATTTTTTTTTTTTTCAGACGGAGTCTCGCTCTGTCGCCCAGGCTGGAGTGCAGTGGCACAATCTCAGCTCAATGCAACCTTTGCCTCTCGGGTTCAAGCGATTCTTCTGCCTCGGCCTCCTGAGTAGCTGGGATTCCAGGTGCTCGCCCCCACGCCTGGTTAATTTTTGTATTTTTAGTAGGAACAGGGTTTCACCATGTTGGCCAGGCTGGTCTCAAACTCCTGACCTCAGGTGATCCACCCGCCTTGGCCTCCCAAAGTGCTGGGATTACAGGTGTGGGCCACTGCGGCTGGCCAGAAATAATAAATTGTATACTGACAACTTCGATTACATAATCAAAGAGGACAACTTGGATTGAAAAGAAACTTCTATAGAAAAGAACATTTTCTGCAGGTTATTTGACAGAACCTGAATACTGATTTCAAAAACTGGAAAATATCAAAGGAGAATATATTACGGATCTAAGATGCCAATATTTGGGTTTGTTTGTGTATCAAAGTCATTCTGCTAAGGCACTAAGTCAATGCACAACATCTAAAACTCAAACCCAACTCCTTTTTGTCCAACACTTCCACCTCCTGAAATATACAAATGTTAATATTTTAGATTCCTATGAATGGAAAGCTTTCCTGCAGGCTCAAGTAGACAACATGTTTGTGTCACTTACTGGTTTTATACTGTGAGTAATGAGCCACACCATAAAGATTCTTGAACTCACTTGGACCCCAGTCACAATCACAGAAGTAGGTACAATTCCTTAAAAAGAAAAACAAGTGAACTATTGCCCTAAAGGCAATTTATAATAAAAGTATAAAATTGAAGCAAAAACTCACCAATTAAACAGTGAACTATCTGTAAGCAAATAGAAAAAAATCATTACGTCAATAATAGAAAACATTAAATAAACCACTGTCAACATTGGCATTCAGCAAATCCATAGGTGGTATGTAATCAGCAAAATCATATTGATTTTGCACAACAAAAAATGTTCACATAAATATTACAGCAATAGAAAAACAGCATGATGGAAAACTTACCTCAAGCAAGGCAAATGTCTGGAAAAATTTAAGTGTCTTCTGAATACTTTTATATAAACCTCTGTGTGTTCCTTTTTCCATATAAAAACGTACCATGGCAATAGCTAGAACCAACCACCTAAAAAAAAAAAGTATTTCATAAAGTTCTTTCGAACTTAATACCACTGATTTATACATTTGTGTTTACAGCAGCGTTATTCAAAATAGTGAAAAGGTAAAAGCAACCCAGGTGTCCATAAGTGAGTGAATGGATACTTGAAATGTGGTCTATACAGGCCTGGCACGGTGGCTCATGCCTGTAATCCCCGCACTTTGGGAGGCCAAGACGGGCGGATCACGAGGTCAGGAGATCGAGACCATCCTGGCTAACACGGTGAAACCCCGTCTCTACTAAAAATACAAAAAATTAGCCGGGTGTGGTGGCGGGCGCCTGAGTCCCAGCTACTCAGGAGGCTGAGGCAGGAGAATGGTGTGAACCTGGGAGGCGGAGCTTGCAGTGAGGCAAGATCACGCCACTGCACTCTAGCCTGGGCGACAGAGCTGTCCGTCTCAAAAAAAAAAAAAAAAAAAAGAAATGTGGTCTATACAGACAATAGAATATTAGCCTTAAAAAGAAAAAGAAATTCTGACATATCATGCAACACGGATAAACCTTGAAGACCTTATGCTATGTGAAATAAGCTAGGCACAAAAGGACTAATACTGTATGATCATTTTTTTCTTTAAAAAATTTCTTTTTTTGCATTATGTGTTGCTGTCATCTTTAACAAAGAACAATTATTGGCTGATTGATTGAGACAGGGTCTCGCTCTGTCACCCTGGCTGAAGGGCAGTGGCGCAGTCTTGCCTCACTGCTGCCTTGACGTCCAGGGCTCAAGCGATCCTCCCATCTCAGCCTTCCCCATAGCTGGGTCTACAGGTGTGCGCCATCATATCCAGCTAATTTTTGTATTTTTTGTAGATATGGGTTTTCGCCATGTTGCCCAGGCTGGTCTCAAACTCCTGAACTCAAGTGATCCATCCACCTCAGCCTCCCAAAGTGCTGGGATTACATGGAGTGAGCCACCATGCCCAGCCTGTATGATTTAATTTATATGAGGTATACACAGGGTAGTCAAATTCATAGAGACAGAAAGTAGGATAGTGGTGGCTAGGGGCTGGGGACAGATGGGGCAATGAGGAGTTAGCGTTCACTGGGTGCAGAGTTTCAGTTTTGCAAGATGAAAAGTTATGGAGACAGAAGGAAGTAATGGTTACACAAAAATGTGAATGTACTTAATGCCACTGAACTTACACTTTAAAAAGTTAAGATGGGCCGGGTGCAGTGGCTCACACCTGCAATCCCAGCACTTTGGGAGGCCGAGGCAGGTGGATCACCTGAGGCCAGAGGTTTGAGACCAGTCTGGCCAACATGGTGAAACCCTGTCTCTACTAAAAATACGAAAATTAGCCAAGCATGGTGGCGCACACCTGTAGTCCCAGCTACTCCGGAGGCTGAGGCAGGAGAATTGCTCCAACCTGGGAAGTGGAGGTTGCAGTGAGCCAAGATCACGCCACTGCATTCCAGCCTGGGTGACAGAGCAAGACTCCATCTCGGGAAAAAAAAAAAAAAAGTCATCAATTAATATTTACTTAATTTTCACTAAAAACAACAACAACAACAATTGCTGAGCCACAGATAGAAGATCAGCCATGGGCCTGCTTTCAAAAAGGTTGTTTAAAAAAAAAAAAACAAAAGAAGAGGCCAGGCATAGTGGCTCACCCCTGTAATCCCAACACCTTGGAAGGTTGAGGTGGGTGGATCACCTGAGGTCCGGAGTTTGAGACCAGCCTGGCCAACATAGCAAAACCCCATCTCTATTAAAAATACAAAACTTAGCCGGGTGTGCCGGTGGGCACCTATAGTGCCAGCTACTCGGGAGGCTGAGGCAGGAGAATTGTTTGAACCCATGAGGCGGAGGTTGCAGTGAGCTGAGATGGTGCCACTGCACTCCAGCCTGGGTGACAGAGTGAGACTCTGTCTCAAAAAAAAGAAAAGAAAAGAAAAAAACAGCCTGGGCAACATGGCAAGATCCCGTCTCTACAAAAAAAAAAAATTTTAGAGGCATGGCGGCACATGCCTGTGGTTCCAGCTACTTGGAAGGCTGAGGTGGGAGGATCACTTGAGCACAGAGGCGCTGGTTGCAGTAAGCTATGTTTGTGCCACTGCAGTCCAGGCTGTGCAACAAAGACCCTGTCTCAAAAAAAACAAGAGAGAGAGAAAGAAAAAAGAAAGAAAAAAATACTATATGCCCTCGCTTTTAAACTTACGTTTGCATATAAATATAGCTTATGTTCTGTGAATAATAATCGTGCTTTAAATATAAGCTAGAGTTGTGGAGACCAGCTTTCTCATACTACTTCTTACTCTTCCTAAAGTCACCAATAAGAAGTTTATTTTTTTCCAGTTTCCCCTGCAATTCCAAAAGCACGTTTAAGTTTAAGCAACTTACCTCATCTGTAACTTTTTAAAAGCTCTAATAACTCACCCAGGGAAATGAGGAGCTACCCTAGTCTTTTAGATAGTCTCCAAAGAGTCTAGTAAGTAGATTTATGAAATATAAAATTATCATGCAGTTTTAACTTTTTTAATCAAAGAACACTCATACAGTGGACAAATGGCTTGAAAAGATTCCTGCAAAGAATCTACTAACTGAATCTGATGAAAATGCATTCTCAAGAGAATAATAAGATGGCAGAATGACACTTCTATTCTTAGAACATAATAAGGTAAAAGCAATGACTTGTTTATCAGATTGGCAAGAAGTCAAGTAAATATCTGAAAGGACCACAAGGACCTTTGAAATGCAGACATATTCATGATAATAACAATGACAATAATAAGTGTATTGTCAGAGTGCTTTCTATGTCTTAGACACTGTTTTCAATTCATAACATATTAACCTCAAATCCTCACAATAACCCTATGAGGCGAGGGTCTTCTATTATCCTATTTCACTACTGAGGAAATAGGCAGAGAGGGTCACACAGCCACCACTAAGCTCGGAGTATATGCTCTTAAGCCACTATGCTGTGTCGGTCTGGCTCTAAGTATATACTGTGCCCTGAGATACCAGTTAATGATAGCAATTCATATTTACATTATAAATATATTTTTAAAGTTATATGGAGAGTCTATGCTCAAATATTTTAATTGATAGTAGCATGCTATCCAAAAAGTTTGAAGGCCACTCTTTTAGATGAGATAATCATCTTCCAGAACATTCAGTTACTTACCCTGAGTCTTAGAGTAAGTTCATGACTGAGTCTGTAATAGAACCTCTGCAGTCTCTAGACTCCCTAGTCCTGACCCCTTTCCACTCTACCCCAGCTTCACTGTGGCTACAACTGATGGATCCATCTCATGTGAGCGCCAACACTGAACTGGACTGATCCTACAGCACTCATCGGAATCATGCTTTAGGTACCTTCCACAACTAAAGTATTATGATTTCATTATCTTCAATTCAAAGTCCCCATATTTCTTCTACTAAGAAAACAAAAAGTTTATTAAGATATTTTCATTCACATTTTCCATACACTTGTCTTTTTTAGGTGAACCCAAATCAGATGTCCACAAAAGATAAGTTTGAGAGGCAGTTATTAACCTACCAATCAAAGGAGTCATTTGGATGGCAAGTTTTCTACATTTTTAAACAGCATTGTATAAAAATCCATGCATCGTTAACATTATAACAAGTTCTACTGTTGCTCCATAGGTGGCAGTATTGTACCACCTAGCATAGTATCATGATCGTGCCACTCACTAAACTGTGGGAAATAAAAGAAATTGACAGGCTCAGGGATTTGAAAGGACCCATCGAAACATCTATTCTAACCTCTTGTCTGTTTTTCCTAAGTAAGGCCAGGAGCCAATTGAATCAGGGTTCACTTCCTAAGCCCTCCATCAGAAAGGGTGACAGTCAAAGAAAGTCTCTTTAAGGGTCCTATATTGAACTAGTTTTGAACTTCCTTCATCTATCGGTTTAGTAACTATAATAAAACAAACAGAAAATATTTCAAAAGCAACTGGAATTTCTGCAATTAGGATTTTTTTTTTTAGACAGATTCTCGCTCTGTCCCGCAGGCTGGAGTGAGTGGTGTGCCCATGGCTCATGGCAGCCTTGGGTTCCCAGGCTTCAGCAATCTTCCCACCTCAGCCTCTCGAGTAGCTGGGACCACAGGGGTGTACCACCATACCTGGCTCATTATTGTTCTTGCTGTTGTGGGGTTTTTTTTAGTAGAGATGGGGTCTCCCTATGTTGCCCAGGCTAATCTTGAACTCCTGGGCTCAAGCCATCTGCCTGCCTCAGTCTCCCAAAGTAATGGGATTACCGGTGTGAGCCACTGCGCCTGGCCAGACTCTCTCTTTTGTGATGCTAGCAGTTACTGATGATCATTGGCTAGATCCATTATTTCAACAATCATTGAAAAACAATATTCTAGCTTGCTATTTCCTTTGTATACCTCCTTTAGCCATTTGGAGGCTTGGACCGAAGATAGTCTTCAACTTTCATATACTCCACACTTTGTCTCCTTTTTTTTTGAAATGGAGTCTTGCTCTGTCACCCAGTCTGGTGTGATTTCAGCTCACTGCAACCTCAACCTCCCAGGTTCCAGTGATTCTCGTGCCTTAGCCTCCCAAGTGGCTGGGATTACAGGTACCTGCCACCATACCCAGCTAATTTTTGTATTTTTAGTAGAGATGGGGTTTCAACATGTTGGCCAGGCTGGTCTCGAACTCCTGACCTCAAGCGATCTGCCTGCCTCAGCCTCCCAAAGTACTGGGGTTACAGACGTGAGCCGCCACGTCTGGCCCATACTTTCATATATTGTTCATTGACACCTCTAAACTGCCTTTTCTAGATAAAAGTTATACTTTTGTTTAGCAGCCAATATGTGAGTGCTTCAACTGATTGTACACCAGCACTCATGCCAATAACGAGTCAAGCTGAAAGATTCATAAAAGAAAAAACAAACGCTTGAGAAACTGAATTTCACTAAGATTAAGACACCTGCTCTTTGAAAGGCACTGTTAAGAGAATAAAAAATCAAGCCCAAACTGGAAGAAAATATTTGCAAATCACATATCTGGTAAAGCACTTGTGTCCAGATTGTATAAAGAACTTTCAAAACCCTATAATAGGAAATCAAACAGCCCATTAAAGAAAAAAAATGTGCAAAAGGTTTTTTTTTTTTTTTTTGAGACAGAGTCTTGCTCTGTCACCCAGGCTGAAGTGCAGTGGCGCGATCTCGGCTCACTGCAAGCTCCACCTCCGGGTTCATACCATTCTCCTGCCTCAGCCTCCGTAGTAGCTGAGACTATAGGCGCCCGCCACCACGCCCGGCTAATTTGTTGTATTTTTAATAGAAATGGGGTTTCACCGTGTTAGCCAGAATGGTCTCGATCTCCTGACCTCATGATCCACTCGCCTCGCCCTCCTAAAGTGCTGGGATTACAAGTGTGAGCCACCGTGCCCAGCTAAAAATGGGCAAAAGATTTGAACAGATACCCAAGAAGATATATGATTGGCAAGTGAAGCACATGAAAAGATACTCAGTATCGTTAGCTACTAGGGAAAACAAAATCAAAATCCCAATGAGATAACAGAATGTACTTCTCGGAATGTCTAAAATTACAATGACTGACCACACCAAGGGTTGGCAAGGATGTGCACCAATGGGAAGTCCCATTCATTGCGAGAGGGAAGATAAAAGGGTATAACCACTTTGGAAACCAGTTTGGCGGTTTCATAAGAAATTACGCTTTGGGAGGCCAAGGCGGTTGGATCATTTGAGGTCAGGAGTTTGAGACCAGGCTGGCCAACCTGGTGAAACCCCGTCTCTACTAAAAATAGAAAAAAAATTAGCCAGGCATGGTGGTGCACGCCTGGAGTCCCAGCCACACAGGAAGCTGAGGCAGGAGAATCGTTTGAATCCGCAGGCAGAGGTTGCAGTGAGCCGAGGATGCACCACTGCACTCCAGCGTAGGTGGCACAGTGAGACTCCATCTCAAAAAAAAAAAAAAAAAAGAACGAAAGAAATTAAACACTTAACTATCCTATGACCCAGCCCCTCCACTCCTAGGTATTTACCCAAGCAAAACAAAAGCATATGTTCGTACATAGACATGTACATGCATGCTTATAGCTTGATTTGTAATAGCAAAAACTGAAGAGAGCCCAAATGTCCATCAACAAATGGATGGATGAACAATTTGTGGTAGGTCCATTTGCGGATCTGTCCTCAGCAACAAAATAGATTCTACGCAGCAATAAAAGATATGGCTCTTACTTAACATTCTGGGAAATGAACCTTGGGTTTCTTGTTCTATTAAATCATACTAAGTATACTGTGAAAATATCTTACTTTCTCTTTCTGCAAGAAGTGCAATTTTAGGCCAGGCGCAGTGGCTCACACCTGTAATCCCAGGATTTTGGGAGGCCAAGGTGGGTGGATTGCTTGGGCCCAGGAGTTCAAGACCAGCCTGGGCAACATGGCAAGACCTTGTTTCTACAAAAAATTTAAAAATTAGCCAGGTGTGGTGGCACGTGACTGTAGTCCCAGCTACTCGGGAGGCTGAGGTGGGAGGATCACTTGAGCCTGGGAGGCTGAGCAGTGAGCTGAGCTGGTGCTACTGCACTCCAGAGCCAGACTCTGTCTCAAAAAAAAAAAAAAGTACAATTTTAAATAAACCACTAGGAATAAAAATGAACATTTGTAAACATCCACTGTGCATCAGGCATCCTGCTAAGAACTTCATATCCATTATCTCTTTATTCCTTTATAATCTAGCTAAGTAGTTGTGCTGTTCCAACTTTACAGATGAGAAAACTAAGAGTCAGAGAGGTTAAGTAGCTTATCTGAGGTTACCCAGCTACAAAGGAATGAGACACAACCTTTAAACAACACCTTTGTGTATTGTGTACAGACTAAAATCCAAACATGTTAGCAAAGCATCTGAGGCCCAGTGCAATGCCCCAAGCTACCTGTCCGCCTTCATTTCCCACTCTACACTTCAGGTCCTCTTCTTTTTTTTTTTTTTTTTTTTTGAGACAGTCTCGCTCTGTTGCCCAGGCTGGAGTGCAGTGGCATGGTCTCGGATCACTGCAACCTCTGCCTCCCGGGTTCAAGAGATTCTCCTGCCTCAGTCTCCCGAGTAGCTGGGACTACAGGTGCACGCCACCACACCCAGCTAATTTTTTGTATTTTTAGTAGAGACAGGGTTTCACTGTGTTAGCCAGGATGGTCTCGATCTCCTGACCTCGTGATCCGCCTGCTTCAGCCTCAAGTGCTGGGATTACAGGCATGAGCCACCGCGCCCGGCCCAAGCCCTCTTCTTGATGCCTCAACAGATGTCTTGCAATTTCAGATCTCTGTCCTCTAACTCATGCTGTTTCCCCACTTATGCCTACTTAAGTCCTTCACCGCTCAGTTTAAATGCTGTGATCTCTCACAGAAAACTTTCTCTAATTCTCCCTACCTGTCTGTCCTCTGACACATCTGCTTAGCACTTATCTCATTATTTTATTGCAATTGTTGTTTATATATTAATGCCCCAGGTTACCCTGCTTCAAGGACAGGGCCTAAAGTATTTGAAGGACAATGCATTTATATATACGGGCACAAAAGTATTTGTCAGAAAGAAAGAGAGAGGGAGGGAGAGAAATGCTCACTTCCCTATTATGAGCAAGTGCCATAAAAATCCTTACATCTGGCCAGGTGTGGTGGCTCACGCCTATAATCCCAGCACTTTGGGAGGCCGAGGCAGGCAGATCACGAGGTTAGGAGATCGAGACCATCCTGGCTAACACGGTGAAACCCCGTCTCTACTAAAAATACAAAAAAATTAGCCAGGCGTGGTGGGGGGTGCCTGTAGTCCCAGCTACTCGGGAGGCTGAGGCAGGAGAATGGCATGAACCCGGGAGGCGGAGCTTGCAGTGAGCTGAGATCGCACCACTGCACTCCAGCCTGGGTGACAGAGCGAGACTCTGTCTTGAAAAAAAAAAAAATCCTTACATCTGCCAGGCATGGTAGCACTCACCTGTAATCCCAGCTACTCATGAGGCTAATGCAGGAAGTCACTTGAGCCCAGGAGTTTGACGCCAGCCTAGGCAACAAAGCTAAACTCCATCTCAAAAAAAAAAAAAAAAAAAAAAAAACCCTAAAAAATCCTTACATCCTTTAAAGGTGTAATTCTTCTTCCAGGAATTTATTACACTAAGCCACGAATTGAACAGAAACAAATAAAAGCAAAATGTCGTTAGGCGCATGATTTAATCCATTATTGTATAATTAATTCTATACACTCAAATGTAACTGTCAAAAAGTATAATTATGAAAAACAGATGAAAACCTGACAGACTATTAAGTGAAAATGGAAAAATATACAATACAGCAGATATTATAACAGCAATGCTGTAATACATTCACTCATTCATTCATTCAAATATTTATTGAGTACTTCTTGGAGTTTACACTCTAATGGAGATGACAGACAATAAGCATTGCGAATAAGTAAAATATATTGTACAATCATATGAAAGAAAGTGGGATGGAGAAAAATAAACAGGCAAGGGAGATAAGGAGTATGTGTTTCACTATTCAAATTAAGATGACCAGGTAAGGCCTCCTTGAGAATGAAGTTTTGAGTAAAAACTTGGAAGAGGGGGCCGGGCGCGGTGGCTCATGCCTGTAATCCCAGCACTTTGGGAGGGCGAGGCGGGCGGATCACGATGTCAGGAGATCAAGACCAACCTGGCCAACACGGTGAAATCCCGTATCTACTAAAAATCCAAAAAAAATTAGCCGGGCGTGGTGGCGGGCGCCAGTAGTCCCAGCTACTCAGGAGACTGAGGCAGGAGAATGGCGAGAATCCGGGAGGCGGAACTTGCAGTGAGCCGAGATCTCCCCACTGCACTCCAGCTGGGTGATAGAGCAAGACTCCGTCTCAAAAAAAAAAAAACAAAAACAAAAACAAAAAAACTTGGAAGAGGTCAAATATTCATATGAAAGATAAAAAGAAAATGAAAGTGTGTGATAGGCTGATAAAATAACAAGCTGTATTTTACATTTATGTAAAATTTTATAATATTTCTTAAATACTATTCCGTTGCTTTGCAATTTGGGGTGTGTGTGTGTGTGTGTGTGTGTGTGTGTGTGTGTGTGTGTGTGTGTGTTTTGTTTTTGAGATGGGGTCTCGCTTTGCTGCCCAGGCTGGTCTTAAACTACTGGACTCAAGCAATCCTCCTGCCTCAGTCTCCTGAGTAGCTGGGATTACAGGTGCATACCACTGTTCCCCACTTGTTTTGAAAATTATTACAAAAAAATTAATAAACACGCCAAAGTTCTGTTAACAGAGAAATAAGTTAAATGAACAAAAAGAGCCTCAACTAGTCTTCTGCTGTCCACCCTATAAAACGTGTAAGTTCTTGTCCCGATTTCAACACTACAACTTCTTCAACCTTATTTACCACTATTCCCCAACAGCACCCTCCAGTTCAATCAAGAGAATACATCAGGCTTGCATATCATGCCTATTTCCAGAATTTATATCACCTGAAATGTCTACTCTCTATGTATGCAAATCTTATTCCTTCTTCAAATCTCACCGCCTCTAGAAAGCATCTGAAGAGTCAGTTACAGAGATTATTCCATTTCAATATCCCTTATTTTTGTAAATATGACAAGGAAACTTCTCAGTAGAGGCAGAAGGAGACAAGTTTAGAACAAGCCCTGATTTGCCGGGGAAGGGTCAGAGGGACAGAATGGAGAAAGCATTTAATTCTGCACCAGGTAAGGCAGGAGACCCGGAAAACTTCAAAGAGGTAGATTTGATTAGAAGTCATGGGAATAACAGGAGAACATTATACAAAAGTGAAAAACCTGAGCACAGAAGCAGAGCGCTGTGAAAATACATGGTGCTTTGAGGGACGAGTGAGTCAGAGATATCAAATGCAAGTTGACTGGAAAGGGGAATCGGGAGCAGATTGCAAAAAGCCTTGAATGGCAGATAGCCTGAATCCCTTAGATCAGGGTGGAGGTGGCAGGGAGTCACTGAAGTCTTTAAACTGGAGCTATGCATTGATGTTCATTTTTGAAATATCAGTTGGCTTTCAAGACAGAGAGTCAACTGAAAAGAGAAAGGACAGACACCCAGTTAACACAAGGCAGATATTTCAAAATGTTCACTGGCTGGGCACGGTGGCTCACACCTGTAATCCCAGCACTTTGGGAAGCCATTGTGGGAGGATCACTTGAGAACATCCTGGGCAATATAGCAAAAACCTGTCTTTACAGAAATTATTATTATTATTGTTTTATTTTTTTGTGTGAGACAGAGTGCAGACTGGAGTGCAGTGGCACGATCTCTCAGCCTCCTGGGTTCAAGCGATTATCGTGCCTCAGCCTTCCAAGCAGCTGAGATTACAGGCCTGTGCCACCATGCCCGGCTAATTTTTGTATTTTTAATAGAGACGGGGTTTTGCCATGTTGGCTAGGCTGGTCTCAGGCGATCCACCCGCCTCAGCCTCCCAAAGTGCTGGGATTACAGACGTGAGCCACCGTGCTCGGCCTACTCTACAAAAAAATTTTCAAATTAGCTGAGGATGGTGGTGTGCGCCTGTAGTCCCAGCTACTCAGGAGGCTGAGGCAGGAGGATTGCTTTGAGCTTCGGGGTTGGGGCTGTAGTAAGCACCACTGCACTCCAGCCTGGAAAACAGAGCAAGGGCTTGGCTTAACAAAAGAAAAAAAAAGGAAATAACAAGGAAACGTTTATTTTATTTTATTTTATTTTATTTTTTGAGACGGAGTCTCACTCTGTCGCCCATGCTGGAGTGCAGTGGCGCGATCTCGGCTCACTGCAAGCTCCCTCTCCCGGGTTCACGCCATTCTCCTGCCTCAGCCTCCGGAGTAGCTGGGACTATAGGCGCCCGCCATGGCGCCCGGCTAATTTTTTGTATTTTTAGTAGAGACGGGGTTTCGCCGTGTTAGCCAAGATGTTCTCGATCTCCTGACCTCGTGATCCGCCCACCTCGGCCTTCCAAAGTGCTGGGATTACAGGCGTGAGCCACCGCGCCCGGCTCCGGAAACGTTTATTAACCAGACTATCACAGAGGTGAGAGAATTCTTTCAGTTCCGAATGCATTTAAAGGCAGCATCATTTCGTGATTGCTGAATTGTTGTAAATACATTAGTTTTCTCACTTTCCAAGAGTATAATTTAGGAGGAAAGAAAGATGAAGTAGCAGGACAGTGGAGTCAGAGAGTCCGGGTTGAAACCCATGTCTGACTGACACTTGCTGGCTGTGATCTTGGGCAAGTATCTGTGCCTCACTCTTCTAATCTATATAATGTAATATCATGTGCCCCTCACAGGACTTTAAAGGACTAAAAATACACCTAAAATAACCAACACAGTCCCCTGCATAGTAAGTCCTCAGTAAATAACATTTGTATGAACTGTATTTGGCATTCAATATCATATGCTAAGCACATAATAGAAACTCAATCACCATAGGTAAAGATTTATTAAATTTTTGTCAATCACATTTTTCTATAAACCCTGGAGAAAGTTTAAAATATTAAGCCGGAAGTGGTAATCCCAGCACTTTTGGAGGTTGAGGTGGGAGGATTGCTTGAGGCCGGGAGTTTGAGACCAGCCTAGCCAACACAGTGAGAGGCCATCTCTATTTTTAAAAAATTAAAATAAAATATTAGGCCCGGTGCGATGGCTCACACCTGTAATCCCAGCACATTGGGAGGCCGAAGTGGGGGAATCATTTGAGGTCAGGAGTTCGAGACCACCCTGGCCAACATGGTGATACCCTGTCTCTACCAAAAATACAAAAATTAATGGGGCGTGGTGGCCCACGCTTGTAGTCCCAGCTACTCCGGAGGCCGAGGCAGGAGAATCGCTTGAACTCCGGAGGCTGAGGTTGGCAGTGAGCGGAGATCGCGCCAATGCACTCCAGCCTGGGCGACAGAATGAGTCTCCGTCTAAAAAATAAAATAAAATACTGTCAGGGCGGGATGGCTCACGCTTGTAATCCCAGCACTTTGGGAGGCCGAGGCGGGCGGATCATGAGGTCAGGAGATGGAGACCATCCTGGCTAACATGGTGAAACCCCGTCTCTACTAAAAATACAAAAAAATTAGCCAGGCGTGGTGGCGGGCGCCTGTAGTCCCAGCTACTCGGGAGGCTGAGGCAGAAGAAAGGCATGAACCCGGGAGGCGGAGCTTGTAGTGAGCCGAGATCCCGCCACTGCACTCCAGCCAAGACCGAGCGAGACTCCGTCTCAAAATAAATAAATAAATAATAAAAAGAAAAAAAGAAAATAGTAAACTTTTCCTCGCGTTTACATAAGTTAATACTTCGAGTGATAATGGGAAAATAACTTTTTTAAAAGGCAGTGCAATTGAGAAATGGAAAAGCATTTTCCCAACAGGTTTTGAGAAGCAGTTGACACAAAAGTCACTTTGAGAGCTCTGCGAAGAGCGACAGTCATTGTGTAACCTTAACTTGCAAAGTCATACTCAAAGCCAAAAATCAAGGTCCAGCTTATCAGCCACGGAGCCTGAGGCCATAAAGATGCTGGGCAGGAGCTCCACGCTGGGATAAGTGGGGTGGTTATTTCAAAATCGTCCCAAGTGACAAGCTCTAGGACGTGCTGTGCTTTAAAAAAAAAAAAAAAAAAAAGTCGCGGTGAAATTAACAGGGGCGAAAACTCTGCCCAGCGATCGCAGCATGAAGCTCTGCGCTCCCGAGACCATCGAGTGGCCAGGGCTGGGCGCTCCTTCAACAGCAGCGAAGGCAGCGGCGCCGGGGCAGCAGCCACCTCCCCCGCGGGCCGGCACCGCATTCCTGCCCGGTTCTATACTTAACCTCCGGCCAGCGCCCCGCCGTGCACCGTATTAGGCAATGCCAGGCGCGCAGGGCCCGGCCCCCCCGCCCGCTCCATTCAACCCCGGCGGTGGCCGCGGCGACAGCTCCCTTCCCCCACGGCCGCTGCCCGCACCCCCCGCGCCCCTTACACCCCGGCCCGCGCCCCCTGAACCCGGAACCTCCGCGGACCGCGGCGCGGGGAGGGCCCGAGGGTGCCCCGCGGCGCGCGTACCCCGCGGTCATGGCGATGTCGTAGAAGGTGAGCCAGGCGGTGGCCAAGACCCCCAGGCGCCTCCGCTCGCCGGGAGCCTCCCGGTCCTCGCCGGCCTCCGAGGCGCCGCCGTTGGTGCCGTCCTCGTCGCTGGACGCCATGGTGGCCGCGCACCTGGGGGACGTGGGAGACAGCGGCAGGAGCGTGGGAGGGGACCCTGCCCAGCCTGCAGCCCGAGAGCCGCTGCCCGCTGCCGCCGCTTCCGTCAGGCGCCCCATGTGCAGCGCGCAGGGGGCTCGGCGCAGCCAGCTCTACCGACCGCGAGGGGGAGGAGCGGACGCCCCCGGCCACCGCCCGTCACGCCCCCGCCCCGCCCCGCCCCTTGGGAGCGCGCGCCACTCGGGGGCCAGAACGCCTGGCCCTGGCACTGGGGATCCAGGACCCGCGAGCCCCGGCACGCTTTCCAGGCGGCGCTGTAGTTTCCGCTCCCGAGGAAAGTGCACCCGCCTCGCTAGCTGCGGGCGCCTCTTCATAGAGAGACGCCCAGACGCCTTGCGCCCTGGCGATGCGCACCCTGCGAGTGCATTTAGTGGGGACACAGGGAACGCACCTGAACTTGGCGTGGCTCTGCCCTGCCTGGCCTTTTGTAAGGCAGTTTCTCAATACGCAGGCAGGGAGCGGGATCTTCCCGCCACTCATTCTTTTCTTTTTAGAGATGCGGTCTCAGTCTGTCTCCTAGGCTGGAGGGCAGTGACGTGAACATAGCTCACTGCAATTTCGTGAGCTCAAGCAATCTTCCCACCTCTGCCTTCCAAAGTTCTGTGATTACAAGCCTGAGCCACAGCGCTGGGCCAAACATTCATTCATTCTTAAGAGCTTCTGGGGAAGAAACGCCTATTTCGCCCTGTTTCCCGTTTACTAGCGAGTCCAACAGGTCTTCCAACAGTGAGAAGACCGTCCCACTTGAGTGATTTTTTTTTCCTTTTTCATTTCTTATTTTTTTTTTTTTTTACAGTCTGGAGTGCAGTGTTGTGATCTCGGCTCACTGCAACCTCCGCCTCCCTGATTCAAGAGATTCTCCTGCCTCAGCCTCCCGAGTAGCTGGAACTACAGTCATGCACCACCACGCCCGGCTAATTTTTGTTATTTTTAGTAGAGACGGTTTCACCACGTTTGCCAGGCTGGTCCCGAACTCCTGGCCTCAAGTGATCCACCCGCCTTGGCTTCCCAAAGTGCTGGGATTACAGGCGTGAGCCACCGCACCCGGCCTCACTTGTGTGAATTTTACCGGAGCGTGTGTGTGTGTGTGTGTGTGTGTCTGTGTGTCTGTGTGTCTGTGTGTGTGTCTATTTACCAAGTGTCAGGCCTCTGAGCCCAAGCTAAGCCATTATATCCCCTGTGACCTGCACGTATACATCCAGATGGCCTAAAGTAACTGAAGAATCACTAAAGAAGTGTGGCCGGTTCCTGCCTTAACTGATGACATTACCTTTTGAAATTCCTTGCACCTACTGAAATACAACCCCCAAATTCCTGAATCCTCCCATTTTATTAGCTGTGTGAACTTGGACAACGTAACCTATCCATGCCTCAGTTTCCTTAGTGGAAATAATTTTTAAAAATCGTGAGCAGAGATCGCCCGTTGCACTCCAGCCTGGACGACAGAGTGAGACTCTGTCTCAAAAAAATAAAAAAAAAAGGAAAGGAAGGCTGGGTGTGGTGGCTCACCCCTGTAATCCTAGCACTTTGGGAGGCCGAGGTAGGCAGATCACTTGAGGTCAGGAGTTTGAGGCCAGCCTGACTAACATGGTGAAACCCCGTCTCTACTAAAAATACAAAAATTAGCGGGGCATGGTGGCGGGCGCCTGTAATCCCAGCTACTCAGGAGTTGAGGCAGGAGAATCGCTTGAACCCAGGAGGCACAGGTTGCAGTGATTTGAGATCGCCCCATTGCACTCCAGCCTGGGTGACAGAGCGAGACTTCTTTTCGAAAAAGAATAAAAATAAAATAAAGGGAAGAAAGAAGTAAAACTGTTTGCAAATGAGAGCAATGTGTTTCCTAGAAAATCCCAGGAATCTCGAGGAATCCTAAAAAAAAAAAACCTCCTGGAACTACAAGATCAACATAACAAAAATCAATTGTTTTTCTACATGTGTACACGGAACAACTGGAAAATGAAATTTAAAATAAACCATACAACGTTAATCAGCATCCAAAAACATGAACTATATAGGCATAAATTTCACAAAATATGTGTGAGACGTATACACTGAAAATTATAAATCATTGCTCAAAACTATAAATCTCTGCTGAGAGAAATGAAAGATCTAAATAAATAGCTGTTGCCTGTTCATGAATTGGAAGACTCCATACTGTTAAATGTCAATTCTCTCCAAATCCCAGCAGATTTTTTTTTAACTTGACAAGCTAACTATAAAATTCATGCAGAGGTACATAGGAAGAAGAAAGTTGGAGCACATATACATCTGGTTTAAAGACTTACTATAAAACTAGTTTTCAACACACTGTGGTACACATAAGGTGAGACATAGAAATCAGTGAAACAGAATCAAGTCCAGGGATAGACCCATATGTATGTGGTCAATTGATTTTTATAAGAAGCTAAGGTAATTTCCATGTGGAAAATATAATCTTTTCAGTAAATGAAATGACTGGATACCCATATCAAAAAATAAATCTTACCTCACACCATAGATAAATATTAAGTTGAAATGAATGACAGACCTAATCATGAAGCTATAATTACATAATTTCTAAGAAAATACAGAACAATCTTTGTGACTTTGGGGAAGGTGAAGATTTTGGAGGTAGAAAAAAGCACTAATCATAAAAAGGAAATAAAAGACAGATTGAACTTCATCAAAATGGGAAACATCTGTGTTTTCAAGACAACATTAAAAAAGTGAAAATATTCACGACAGATGTCTCTAACAAGGAATTTGTATCTGGAACATATAATGAAAGCTTACAACTTAATAAAACAATTCAATTTTTTGAAATGAGCAAAAGATTTGAATACACACTTCACAAAGATATAGAAATGGCCAATAGCCGGCCAGGCACTGTGGCTCACGCCTGTAATCTCAGCATTTGGGGAGGCTAAGGCAGGCGGATCACCTGAGGTCAGGAGTTTGAGACCACCTTGGTCAACATGGCAAAACTCCGTCTCTACTAAAAATACAAAAATTAGCTGGGCGTAGTGGCACGCCCCTGTAATCCCAGCTACTTGGGAGTCTGAGGCAGGAGAATCACTTGAACCTGGGAGGCGGAGGTTGCAGTGAGCCGAGATGGCACCACTGCACTCCAGCCTGGGCTACAAGAGCAAAACTCCATCTCAAAAAAAAAAAGTAAAAAAGAAATGCCCAATAGCACATGCAAAAGTGCTGAATCTTATTAGTCATTTGGGAAATGCAAATTAAACCCACAATGAGATAGCACCACACAACCACTCAAGTGGCTAATATTTTAAAATGTTAGCAGGGATTGGCATTCTCATACAAGGCTAAAAAGAATACTGCTTTGGAATATAATTTGGCAATTTCTTACATCAATATACACTTACTTAGCATATGATCCAGTAATTTCACTCTTGGTATTTAACCAAGAGAAATAAAAACATATGTCTACACTAAGTCTTGAAACCAAATGTTCATAGCAGCTTTAGTAATAGTAATTCAAACTGAAAATAACTCATGTGTCCATCAATGTGTGAATGAATAAACAAATTGTAGTGTATTCATACAATGGAATATTACTCAGCAATAAAAAGGAACATACTATTGTACATGGCACATGAATGAATCTCATTAACTTTGTGCTGAGCAAAAGAAGCCAGACACAAAATATTATATAGTATATGATTACTTTTATATAAAACTCTAGAAAAGCAAAATCTAATCTAAACGGACAGAAAACAAAAAAGGTTGTTTCCTGAAGTTGGGGATTCCTGTAGGGAGACTAGACTAAGAATAAATACAGGAAAGCTTTTGTAGTAGTGTGAATGTTCACCATGTTGATTGTGGTGGTTACACAGCTCTACATATTTGTTGCAACTCATCATACCGGCCGGGTACAGTGGTTCATGCCTGTAATACCAGCACTTTGGGAGGCTGAGGTGGGCAGATCATCTGAAGTCAAGAGTTCGAGACCAGCATGGCAAACATGGTGAAACACCGTCTCTACTAAAAATACAAAAATTAGCCAGGCGTGGTGGTGCACGCCTGTAGTCCCAGCTATTCGGGAGGCTGAGGGATGAGAATCGCTTGAACCTGCAGGCAGAGGTTGCAGTGAGCCGAGATCATGCCGCTGAACTCTGGTCTGGGCAACAGAGACTCGTCTCAAAAAAAAAAAAAATCTCATCATACTGAACACATAAGATAGATTCATTTCGTTGAGTATAAATTATTAAAATTGATTTATAAATGCCATGAACACTACATATTTTAACGTGTAGAATTTATAATACTGATATGTTTAACATGAAACCCAAATGTTGTGGCAGAATGCCTTCGTATTTTGCAGTTAATAGTTTCCCTACCAAATATTCCTTTAAAGCATCGAATCTGCCACAAGATAGAACTCATTTTCACAACAGTAATGCATGTTACAAAGTTCAATGTAATAACATTTTGAAAAATAAACTTTTAAATGCCCTAAGAATAAATAATATTTCAACAGATTTATAAAATCGTCCCTATAAAATGTGAATTTACCATGTACTATGTAGAAATAGGTGATACCAAAATGAGTGAAACATGGAGCCTGTTTTCATGAAGCTAACAATTGTTATAAAATGGATAAGAATTTCATACAAATTAATATATTCTAAGATATGTTATTAACATGCCACCTCTCATGTGCCAGACACTTCAGCTGATTTAATCCACACAATCTTTTCAGGTATTACTATCCACATTTTACAAATGAGCTCATTGAAGCCTGGAGAAGTTAAGAAACTTGCCCAAGCTTCTCAGCCAATGGGCGGTGATTTTGAAGGACCACTGACTCCAAAGCCCGTGTTCTATTATGAATTGCAGAATATAATAAATTTGGAAAGAGGATTACAAAGTGCTTTGGGAGCTAAAGAGCTGTCGAAAAATGTAATTTGTTTGGAGAATCAGACAATGACTCATGCAAGAAATCACTTTTAAATGCTTAAAGAATAAGTATGATTTCAACAAATCGCAGAGGGTATTGCAGGCTGAGAGCTGATCATGAACACGGGGGCGGGAAAAACAAACAAGTTTGAGGAGAAGTGAGTCGTGCAGATTAACGAAATGTTAGAGGTATTAGAGAAGAAGGATAAAATAGATACACAGGGAGAACCACTCTATTTTAAAAGGCAGTATGAGCTTCTAAAGATTTTCAGTATGAAAACCACAGCGAAGAAACTCTGTTCTCAAAGATTAATTTGGGCCGGGCGCTGTGGGTCACCCCTATAATCTCAGCACTTTGGGAGGCTGAGGTGGGCAGATCACCTGAGGTCAGGGATTCAAGACCAGCCTGGCCAACATGGGAAACCCCGTCTTTACTAAAAATACAAAAATTAGTGAAGCGTGATGGCGTGCACCTATAATCCCAGCTACTCAGGAGGCTGAGGCGGGAGAATCGCTTGAATCTAGGAAGGAGAGGTTGCAATGAGCGGAGATGGCACCACTGCACTCCAGCCTGGGTGACAGAGTGAGACTCTGTCTCAAAAAAACAATTAATTTTGCAGCAGTGTATCAAATAAATTGGTATGAGGGGATGCAAGAAATGAGAGCTGTAGTCTAGGAGATAAGTAAGAAAGACCAGAACTGGGTGGGTGGCAATAGTCGTTGGAAAGTGGATGGTGAGGAGAACTTCAGTTTCAGCTGAAGAGCAGGATGAATAAGGAGATATCTTAAAAAAATAAAATAAAGGACCGGGCGCAGTGGCTCACGCCTGTAATCCCAGCACTTTGGGAGGCCTAGGCGGGCGGATCATGAGGTCGGGAGATCGAGACCATCCTGGCTAACACACTGAAACCCCGTCTCTACTAAAAATACAAAAAATTAGCTGGGCGTGGTGGCGGGGGCCTGTAATTCCTGCTACTCGGGAGGCTGAGGCAGGAGAATGACGTGAACCCGGAAGGCGGAGCTTGCAGTGAGCTGAGACTGGGAGACAAGCGAGACTCCGTCTCAAAAATAAATAAACAAATAAATAAAATAAAATAAAATTAGCTTTTGGGGTACAAGTGGTTTCTGGTTTCATGAATGAAGCATATAGTGGTGAAGTCTGAGATTTTAGTGCACCTGTCACCTGAGTAGTGTACGTTGTACCCAATATGTAGTTTTTTTTAATCCCTCAACGCCCTCCCCACCTCCCTGCTTCTGAGTCTCCACTGTTCACTACACCACTCTGTGTGCCTTTGCATACCTATAGCTTAGCTCCCAATGATGAGTGAGAATATATGGTATTTGGTTTTCCATTCCTGGGTTGCTTCACTTAGAATAATGGCCTCCAGCTCCATCCAAGTTGCTGCAAAAGACATGAATAAGGAGATATATTAAGATAACAAGAGAATGAAAATAAGATTTTATTCGTTGTTTTTTATTTGCCGAAGGTGTCATGAAAGAGGGAGAGATTGATTATCTATTTGGAATGGGCTATTTTATGAAGCAAGATGGCTCCGACAGTGGAATGATGAGGGATTAAGAAGATGGATGAAAAGATTAGGGTTTTGTTTTTGTTTTTGTTTTTGACACGAAGTCTCACTCGTCTCCAAGGCTGGAGTGCAGTGGCATGATCTCGGCTCACTGCAACATCTGCCTCATGGGTCCAGCGATTCTCCCGATTAGCTGGGATTCCAGGCACCCACCACCACATCCAGCTAATTTTTGTATTTTTAGTAGAGATGGGTTTTTGCCATGTTGGCCAGATTGGTCTCAAATTCCTGATCTCAGGTGATCCACCTGCCTCGCCCTCCCAAAGTGTTAGGATTACAGGCATGAGCCACCACACCTGGCTGGATTAGATTTCAAAAAGAGAAAAAAATCCTTCTTTCTCAGACAGGAATAAAGAAAATGGAGATAGAGATATTTTGAGGTAGGGAAAAGAAAGTTGAGGTAGGTAGCTCCACTGAGGGTAAGGTGTCCTGAGGGCAAATAAGGTTTGGAATGGCACCTCATATATAACTTTATTTTACTTCTCAAAACATCATATTATTTTCCCAGTCTAAGGAATAGCCCTTGCCTTTAGAACAAAGGCATTGAGAGCTCTCTTTTATAACCTAAGCCCATAGAGGCCAATGGAATATTACCTCCTAGTCCATGCCATGGAAATCCTCTGATCCAGCCAGGCAGGTCTGTTCCCTGTCCAAAAAGTGACCTAGAGAGACTTTAATCCAAATCTCCTTTCTGTTCACCCTCCCTAACCTGTTGTTTTCCCTTCCCAACTGCTCCCCAAGCTGCTGTTTTCCCTTATACAAACAAGAATGTTTTGAAAATCTCATTCATTCTTCAAAGATGTTTCAAATCCCAATTCTTTTAAGTGTCTTTCCCTGACCACTTAAATGTACATTAAATTCTCCAACAGTTTGTAGTGATAATGTGTCGTTTCTTTTGGCATTTCATTGTACATCATTTTCTGCTTTTCCAACAGTTTGTAGTGACACAAATAGTTTGTAGTGATACCAATAGTTTGTAGTGATAATGTATCGTTTCTTTTGGCATTTAATTGTATATCATTTTCTGCTTTTCCTTAATTTACACTTGTGTATGTTTTGTCTATGAAGAAGAAATGCATATGAGAGATCACAAACTATATTTTTAAAAATCCTTCTCAAAAACCCATTAGTGTTTTGCAATTTTGAACAGCTTTGTGGAGTTATAAATGACATAGAACAAACTGCATATATTTAAAGTATACCATTTAATAAGTTTTGACGAATGTGTCCTCTGTGAAACTTTCACCACAATCAAGACAGAGAACATATCCATCACCTGGAAAAGTGTCCTCCTGCCCTTTTGTAATCCCCACCTCCTCCCCTGGCAACCACTCATCTGCTTTCTATCACTGCAGAGTAGTTTGCATTTGCAAGAAGGTTGTATAAATAGAATCATACAAGACGTACTCTTTGTTGACTTTGTTTTTTTGTTCACTTGGGGTAATTACTCTGAGCTGGTCCTTGGCTGGCCCATGGGCATGTGATCTGTGTAGTCCATAGAGTCTTGCACTGACAAGGGCTCTGTGCTTGTTTGGGCTGGGCACAGTGCCTCATGACTGTAATCCCAGCACTTTGGGAGGCCAAGGCAGGAAGATCACGAGGTCAGGAAATCGAGACCATCCTGGCTAACACGATGAAATCCCGTCTCTACTAAAAATACAAAAAATTAGCCGGGTGTGGTGGCACACGCCTGTAGTCCCAGCTACATGGGAGGCTGAGGCAGGAGAATCCCTTCAACCCAGGAGGTGGAGCTTGCAGTGAGCCGAGATAGCACCACTGCACTCCAGACTGGGTGAGAGAGTGAGACTCTGTCTCAGGAAAAAAAAAAAGAGAAAGCCTCCCTGGTTTTTTGAATGCTCCACTGTCTTTGTTTTTGAAGTTCTTAATGCTTTGTGAACAAGAAGACCTACATTTTCCTTTTGCACTGGGCCCCACACATTATATTGCTGATCCTGAAATAGAGATTCATCCATATGTGTGCATAGATTAACAGTTTATTTTGTTTTATTGCTGAGCAGTTATTCCATCGTATGGATATCCTACAATTTGTTTATCCATTCATTCACCAAAAGCATTTGGGTTTTTTTCCAGTTACAAATAAAGGATCCATGAACATTTGTGTACCAGCCTATATAAAGATATGCTTTCAAGCTGGGCATAGTGGCTCATGCATATAGTCCCAGCACTTTGAGAGGCCAGGGTTAGAGGATAGCTTGAGGCCAGGAATTTGAGGCCAGGCTGGGCAACATAGCAATACCCTATCTTAAAAAAAAAAAAAAAGATACGCCTTCATTTCTTTTAGGTAAATACTGAAACACAGAACGACTGAGTAACATAGTAAGTGTATGCCTAACTTTTTAAGAAACCACACTGTTTTCTAACTTTTTTTTTTTTTGAGACGGAGTCTCGCTCTGTCATCCAGGCTGGAGTGCAGTGGTGCGATCTCTGCTCACTGCAAGCTCCGCCTTCCAGGTTCACCCATTCTTCTGCCTCAGCCTCCCGAGTAGCTGGGATTACAGGCGCCGTCAACCATGCCTGGCTAATTTTTTGTATTTTTAGTAGAGATGGTGTTTCGCCATGTTAGCCAGGATGGTCTCGATCTCCTGACCTCGTGATTCACCTGCCTCGGCCTCCCAAAGTGCTGGGATTACAGGCATGAGCCACCGCACCTGGCCTGTTTTCTAATTTTTTAAAGAGATTTACAAATTTTTTACTTTTTGCACAAAGAGTTAGCATGGTTTCTTTCATGGGATGGATGACCTGGATAATCCATTCAAGGAAGTTCCCTTAGTACAACTTAATGAAACCTATATCCTTTGCATACTGGGGAACATATTGAAGCTGTATTTTTGGATCACATCATGCTGGTTTGAGCAAGAACCCTGGCCAGTTTCACAGGTGGCTCTAGTATAGCTGCTGGAGACCCATCTTGCCCTTAAGAGTAAGAGGTGAAAGGAAACAGCTAGCACATACATGCACTTCTCAAATTTTTCCAGTTTTTCTAAAGTGGTTGCACCATTTTACATTCCCATCAGCTGTGTAGGAGAGTTTCAGTTGCTCCACATCCTAGTCAACACTTGGTGTAGTCAGTCTTCGAAATTTTAGACATTCTAATAGGTGTATTATTTCATTGTGGTTTTAATTTTCACTTCCCTAATGACTAATTATGCTGTTGCTTTTCATGTGCTTATTTGTCAGTTGTATATTTTCCTTGGTATAGTTACTGTTCAAATCTGCCCAATTTTTTTTTCTTTCTTTTTTTTTTTTTTTTAGACAGGGTCTCACTCTGTCACCCAGGCTGGCGTGCAGTGGCACGATCTCAGTTCCATCTCCCGGGTTCAAGTGATTCTCGTGTCTCAGCCTCCCAAGTAGCTGGGATTACAGGTGCAAGCCACCATACCCAGCTAATTTTTTTTTTTTTTGAGACAGAGTCTCGCTCTGTTGCCCAGGCTGGAGTGCAATGGTGTGGTCTCCGCTCACTGCAACCTCTGCCTCCCGGGTTCAAGCGATTCTCCTCTCTCAGCCTCCCAAGTAGCTGGGATTACAGGTGCAAGCTACCATACCCAGCTAATTTTTTTTTTTGAGACAGTGTCTCGCTGTGTTGCTCAGGCTGGAGTGCAGTGGTGTGGTCTCGGCTCACTGCAACCTCTGCCTCCCAGGTTCAAGCGATTATCCTGTCTCAGCCTCCCAAATAGCTGGGATTACAGGTGCCTGCTACGACACCTGGCTAATTTTTTTGTATTTTTAGTGGAGATGGGGTTTCGCCATGTTGGCCAGGCTGGTCTCGAACTCCTGACTTCGTGATCTGCCCACCTTGGCCTCCCAAAGCGCTGGGATTTACAGGAGTGAGCCACCACAACTCTGCCTGTTGCTGAATTTTGTGGTGTATTAATTGCTTTCTTTAATTATTAAGTTTTGAGACTACTATATATTTTCTAGGTAAAAATCTTTTATCAGATATATGATTTGCAAATATTTTTTCCCAGTTCATGGGAGAATTTTTATTTATTTATTTTTTTAGAAACAGAGTCTCACTGTGTTGCCCAGGCCAGTCTTGAATTCCTGAGCTCAAGCAATCCTCCCACTAAAGTGCTGTGATTCCAGGCATGAGCCAGTGGGAGAATTTTCTTGACAGTACTTTTCACAGGGCAGAAGTTATTAATTTCGATGAAGTTCTGTTTGTCAATTTTTTTCTTTGAAGGATTGAGTTTGTATTGTTATATCTAGGAAATTATTGCCTAACCCAAGGTAACAAAGGTTTTGTACTATTTTCTTCTGGAAATTTAATATTTGAGGTTTTTATTTGGGTCTATGATCCATTTTGAGTTAATTTTTGTATATGATACAAGGTATGAAATGAGGTTCATATTTTTGCTTATAAATATCCAAGTGTTCCAGGGCCATTTGTTGAAAACCTATCTTTTCTCTGCTGAATTGCTTCTTTACCTTGTCAAAAATCAGTTGTCCATTTACGTATGAATATATTTCTGTTAGGTCTATTCTGTTCTACTGATCTTCTTGTCTGTCTTTATGCCAGTACCATGTTGTCTTGATTGCCATAGCTTTATAACAAATCTTTTTTTTTTTTTTAATTTATTATTTTATTGATAATTCTTGGGTGTTTCTCACAGAGGGGGATTTGGCAGGGTCATGGGACAATAGTGGAGGGAAGGTCAGCAGATAAACAAGTGAACAAAGGTCTCTGGTTTTCCTAGGCAGAGGACCCTGCGGCCTTCCGCAGTGTTTGTGTCCCTGATTACTTGAGATTAGGGATTGTTGATGACTCTTAACGAGCATGCTGCCTTCAAGCATCTGTTTAACAAAGCACATCTTGCACCGCCCTTAATCCATTTAACTCTGAGTGGACACAGCACATGTTTCAGAGAGAGGGTTGGGGGTAAGGTCACAGATCAACAGGATCCCAAGGCAGAGGAATTTTTCTTAGTGCAGAACAAAATGAAAAGTCTCCCATGTCTACTTCTTTCTACACAGACACGGCAACCATCCGATTTCTCAATCTTTTCCCCACCTTTCCCGCCTTTCTATTCCACAAAGCCGCCATTGTCATCCTGGCCCGTTCTCAATGAGCTGTTGGGCACACCTCCCAGACGGGATGGTGGCCGGGCAGAGGGGCTCCTCACTTCCCAGTAGGGGCGGCCGGGCAGAGGCGCCCCTCACCTCCCGGACGGGGCGGCTGGCCGGGCAGGGGGGCTGACCCCCCCACCTCCCTCCCGGACGGGGCGGCTGGCCGGGCGGGGGGCTGACCCCCCCACCTCCCTCCCGGACGGGGCGGCTGGCTGGGCAGAGGGGCTCCTCACTTCCCAGTAGGGGCGGCCGGGCAGAGGCGCCCCTCACCTCCCGGACGGGGCGGCTGGCCGGGCGGGGGGCTGACCCCCCCACCTCCCTCCCGGACGGCACGGCTGGCCGGGCGGGGGGGCTGACCCCCCACCTCCCTCCCGGATGGGGCGGCTGGCCGGGCGGGGGGCTGACCCCCCCCCCACCTCCCTCCCGGACGGGGTGGCTGCCCGGCGGAGATGCTCCTCACTTCCCAGATGGGGTGGCTGCTGGGCGGAGAGGCTCCTCACTTCTCAGACGGGGCAGCTGCCGGGCGGAGGGGCTCCTCACTTCTCAGACGGGGCAGCCGGGCAGAGACGCTCCTCACCTCCCAGACGGGGTCTCGGCCGGGCAGAGGCGCTCCTCACATCCCTGATGGGGCGGCGGGGCAGAGGCGCTCCCCACATCTCAGACGATGGGCGGCGGGGCAGAGACGCTCCTCACTTCCTAGATGTGATGGCGGCTGGGAAGAGGCGCTCCTCACTTCCTAGATGGGATGGCGGCCGGGCGGAGACGCTCCTCACTTTCCAGACTGGGCAGCCAGGCAGAGGGGCTCCTCACATCCCAGACGATGGGCGGCCAGGCAGAGACACTCCTCACTTCCCAGACGGTGTGGCGGCCGGGCAGAGGCTGCAATCTCGGCACTTTGGGAGGCCAAGGCAGGCGGCTGGGAGGTGTAGGTTGTAGTGAGCCGAGATCACGCCACTGCACTCCAGCCTGGGCACCATTGAGCACTGAGTGAACGAGACTCCGTCTGCAATCCCGGCACCTCGAGGTTGGCGGATCACTCGCGGTTAGGGGCTGGAGACCGGCCCGGCCAACACAGCGAAACCCCGTTTCCACCAAAACCAGTCAGGCGTGGCGGCGCGTGCCTGCAATCGCAGGCATTCGGCAGACTGGCACCCTTTATCTATAAAACCGGGTCACTCTGCAGCTTCCACTCTGAGAGTTACTCAAAGCTCGGCGTCCGTGATGGCCTATGGGGCTTCCGAGGCGATCGGGCAGCATCAGTCTTCAGCCGCTAAGCCGAGAAGGAGTCAGTCAGAGAGCCTTGGGCCAGAGTTGCAGGGGCTCGGGGAGTGGCTGCCAGGTGAGTTGAACAGTCTAATTTCCAGTAGGGTCCCGCACAGATGGGACACGGCTTAGGAGGAATCCTGGGCTGCAGGCATTCCTTGCCCTGGTGGTCAGATTTCTGGCACTTGTAGCAAGCTCCTGGGGGAGGAGGTTCTAGAAGAACGCCTAGCCGCTGCGGTTCAGGCATTTGGAAGTTCTTGTATGCTGGAGATGTGGCTGGGGTTTGTCTCACAGTGGAGCCAAGGAATTGCAACTTTTTTCTATTATTGTACACCTTGAAGGCAAGGTTAATTAAATCCTGTTGTGGGGTTTGAGGGCCGGAATTTAATTTTTGGAGTTTTATTTAATGTCGGGAGCAGATCGGGTAATAAAATGTATATTGAGAATAAGATGGCCTTTTGACCTTTTAGGGTCTAGGGCTGTAAAGCGTCTCAGGGTTGCTGCCGAACGAGCCATGAACTGGGCTGGGTTTTTATATTTGATGAAAAAGAGCCTAAACGCTATGTGATTTGG
This sequence comes from Homo sapiens, assembly GCF_000001405.40. NCBI lineage: Eukaryota > Metazoa > Chordata > Mammalia > Primates > Hominidae > Homo > Homo sapiens. The sequence continues at coordinate 17,630,690 of NC_000010.11, forward strand.
GATAAAGAAAAAGGAGCATTAACCCTGACTATGCCTTTGGCTCCAGCCACCTTTTTAAGAGTAAATTGCTGGGCAGGTGGGGGAGGGCTAGTCACAGAATGAAACTGTAAGTCGGACCAGGTGTGGGATGAAGGGGGGGGAGGCGCGGAGGCTGAGGAAGAATTGGGACCTAGCTTGGGCTGGCGCGGAGGGGAGAGGTCAGATGGGTCTGTAGAAGAGGAAGATTAGAAAGACTCAGCGCCGCTTGGGGTTGGGACTGAGGGGACAGGAGGGAGGGAAAGAAGGAAGATTTGGGACGAGTTGCACGGGGCACAGAGACTAGGAAGGGACTGATGTGTAAAAGAATGCCTGGACGTCAGGCACCTCAGACCATTTGCCCATTTTACGACAAGAATTATTTAGATCTTGTAGGATGGAAAAATTGAAAGCGCCGTTTTCCAGCTATTTGGAACTACTGTCGAGTTTGTATTGGGGTCAAGCGGCATTGCAGAAGAAAATAAGGCATTTAGGTTTTAGGTCAGGTGTGAGTTGAAGAGGTTTTAAGTTTTTGAGAACACAGGCTAAGGGAGAACAAGGAGGAATGGAAGGTGGAAGCCTACCCATAGTGAAGGAGGCAAGCCCAGAGAAAAGAGTAGAGACATGGAGAAGGGGTGGGGAGTTCTTGCCCTCCAGAAAAGCAGAGAAAGGGTTGGGGCACGGAAATAAGGGATTGGGGCACAGAGATAAGAGGTTGGGGTGCGGAAATAAGCGATTGGGAGGTTCTTGCCCCTAGGAAAGCGGGACTTGCCTCTAAGGGTGAAGGAGAAGGGGTTGAGGGGTACTTGCCCCTGCCCCAGGAAAGGCAGAGAAGGGGTAGAGACAAGGAGAGAAGGGGTTGGGGTACTTGCCCCTTCCCCAGAAAAGCAGGACTTGCCGCTAAGGGTGAAGGACCAAGGCAGGTGTCCCTGCGTGGTCTGACACCCTTGAAACGTGGGTGTATAATCACAGAGGCGTCCCTGCAATGATTAAACACCAAGGGAAGGCTGCCTTCCCAGTCCGTGACCGGCGCCGGAGTTTTGGGTCCACGGATAAAACGTGTCTCTTTTGTCTCTACCAGAAAATGAAAGGAATTGAAATTAAGAGAAGGGAGAGATTGAAGTGTAGCGCCAAGATTGAAAGGAGAAAGAGGTTGAGGGATAGTGAGGGAAGTTGGAGAAGAGAGTAAAAAGAGGCCGCTTACTGGATTTGAAATTGGTGAGATGTTTCTTGGGCTGGTCGGTCTGAGGACCTGAGGTCGTAGGTGGATCTTTCTCACAGAGCAAAGAGCAGGAGGACAGGGGATTGATCTCCCAAGGGAGGTCCCCCGATCCGAGTCACGACACCAAATTTCATGTGCGTCCGTGTGAAGAGACCACCAAACAGGCTTTGTGTGAGCAACATGGCTGTTTATTTCACCTGGGTGCAGGTGGGCTGAGTCCAAACAGAGAGTCAGCCGCTTTATAACAAATCTTGAAATCAAGTCATGATTTGTGTTTGTGACAGTGACAGGGTTAATGATGTTAGTAATCTGTAATGTGTATGTTCTTAGCACATCATGATAGAATTTGACTAGGCATGGTGTGGTTACTACAACAGGATGAGAGCAATGATACCACTAGAGAGAAGTGATAGCATTAATTTCAGAGAAGTGATAGCATTAATTTCAGAGGAAAAAAAACACTTTAAAATTTCACCAGTTTTTCTATTTGTAGGCATCGCAATAGGAAGGAATGTGAGGAAGAAAGCTGGTGCATTTGGGAGAACACTTGTGAAATGTAGCAGAAGGCCAGGCGTGGTGGCTCACGCCTGTAATCCCAGCACTTTGTGAGGCCGAGGTGGGTGGATCATTTGAGGTCAAGAGTTCGAGCCCAGCCTGGCCTATATGGCGAAACCCCGTCTCTACTAAAAACACAAAAATTAGCCAGGCATGGTGGCGGGCGCCTGTAGTCCCAGCTGCTCAGGAGGCCGAGGCAGGAGAATTGCTTGAAACCGGGAGGCAGAGATTGCAGTGAGCCGAGATTGTGCTACTGCACTCCAGCCTGGGCAATAGAGCAAGACTGAGTCTCAAATTAAAAAAAAAAAAAAGTAGCAGAAGTGAGCTGTAGTGGAAACAAATACAAAGAAAGGGAACGAGAACTGAAACATGAAGAGCAAGAAACCTATGAACACAGAGGACTGATCTGGGAATGATAAGTTGAGCATTGTGGTTTGGAAGGAATATTGGAATTCATTTAACCCAATCTCCTTATTTTTTTGTATTGATGTGAAAACTGAGAGACAAGGAAGTTCCTTTAGAGCTTATCTATAATCTCCTTTAGAACGGAATCAATCGTGCAAATTTGGTTCTAGGCTGACAGTTGAAAGTCAAGACTTTGTAAGTAAAATCCTTCTGTTCTGTAGGTATATTATTGTAAATAAGAACTTCATTCTTAAAGAACAATTTCATACCTTACAAAATTGATTATGAAAATAAAACAAAACAGACGCATATGCGATTTTGAATATTAATTATGTAAGACTAAAAACAGTATAAAAAGTAGTATTTTAAACGCTCCTTTGGGGAATATTTTCTACATTGGCACAGATATAGTCCAGGGAATTTTAGAATGAAAATAACTTTTTTCCCTTTGTAAATATGTAAATTTCATTTTGTAAATATGTATATGCATATAGAGTAAGCATATGCATTTTTCATTGTGCTAAATGTTGAATTGCCTTCAAAGCTGGAGTCATCTATTCTGAAAAATCTTTGAACGGTAAATGATGGGAAGGAATAGATTCCTTTGTGAGGTCTTCAGTTTCAAAGATCCTTACAATGTATCAGCTGCTGAGTCAGCAGAATCAACATCATCCCAGACTAGCTGGTAAGTGTTGCTAATCTAGTTACCTGGTCTGTGGTAGTTACTAGGTGTTCATAAAAGAAAAAGACATGATCTTTATAATAGTGAAAGGCAAAAGTGGAAGAAGTCATAAATTGAATTATGGTGAATTGGATGAGTTTATATCATACTATTATTTGTTATGAAAAGGTTATTTATAGACCCTGACATTATATAGATTGGTTCAAACTTCTCCAAATAAGAGACGTCAGACTATGATAGAGCAGCTGTTCCAGAATATCCATTAGGAGCAAAAGAGCGACAGGGTTGGGGACAGGCCTGCAGTCTAGCTGCTGGGAAAGGGTCTGACTGAGGCTGTGGTTTTCAAACATTTTTGCTTTTTTGAAACATATACCTTCTCTCATATTTTTAAGTGATCTACAGTTTTTTTTTTAAATCATAACCCTAAACAGTTGCAAAGGATATAATTTCTGGGAATTTTAACAGCTTTATTTAGGTGTAATTCAAATACAGAATCCGTGCATATTTAAAAATAAATATTGGCATATATACCAATATATGTCGAAAATGTAGTAACGAAAGCATTACTACAGTCAAAATAATGAAGATAGAGCATCACCCCTTCCCACCCTTTCCCCCTCCCCAAAATACCCTATCTCTTTTAAAAATTTCCAGTGAAGCCATCTAGGCCTGGTGTTAACTTTGTTGAAAATTTTTAACAAGAAATTCAAATAGAGCTTTTCACATTAAATATTTCTTGGGGCTGGGCACGGTGGCTCACGCCCATAATCCCAGGACTTTGGGAGGCCAAGGAAAGAGAATCGTTTGAGGCCAGGAGTTTGAGACCAGCCTGGGCAACATAGCGAGACCCCATCTCTACAAAAAAAAAAACCATACAAATAAATAAATATTTCTTCAGTGAGCTTTATTAGTTCATGCCACTGAAGGGATTTGCCATTTCCTCCGTGTTGTCCAGTTTATGGGTCTAAAATTGGTCATAATATTTTCTTATTATCCTGTTAACATCTATAGCATCTGTAGTGATGCCACTTCTCTCATTTTGCAAGTTGACAGTTTGTGACTTTTCTTTTTTTCCCCCCTAATTAGTCTGGTTATAGTTTTATCAATTTATTAACCTCCCCAAAAAACTGGCTTTAGTTTCTTTTATTTTCTCTATTTGTGTCTTATTTCTCATTGATTTCCATTCTGATGTTTATTACTGCCTTTCTTCTGTGTACTTTGGGTTTCATTTGCTACTTTTTCTATTTTTTTAAGGTAAAAGCTGAGATCATTGATTTGAGACTTTTCTTCTTTTCTAACATAAGTGCTAATTTATACTATAAATATCTCTGTAAATACTGCTTTACTTGCTTTCCACAAATTTTGTTATGCTGTGTTTTCATTTGTATTCTATTTAAAATACTTTTCAATTTTCATTTTTATTTCTCTTTGACCCTGGATTAGTAAATTAGTTATTTAGTTTCCAAATGTTAATTAGTATGTTAATTTGTTTCCAATATTTGGAGACTTTCAACTAGCCTCTTGCTACATACTTTTAATTTAACTCCATTTTAGACAGAGAACATACTTTGTATGACTTGAATGTTTTTAGATTTATTGAGATTTGTTTTATATCCCAGACTATGATCTGTCTTGATAAATACCTCATGTACACTGGAAAATAATGTATATGCAGCCTTTATTGGATGTAGTATTCTAACAAGTTCCATTAAATCAAGCTTGTTGTTAGTACTGTTCGAGTCTTTATAGCCTTACTGATTTTCCCCTACTTGTCCTGTCAATATTGAGACAGGGAAGTTAAAATTTCAACTATATGATGTAGTTGTTTATTTTTCCTCAAAATTCATCATTTTGTTTCATGTACTTTGAAGCTCTGTTATTATATGCAAAAATGTATAAAATTGTTATATTCTCTATGTTTTTATTTTTAAAATAACTTTCTTATACACATCATACAGTTGGGTCTTGTTTTTAAAAAATAGACTGACAATTCCTGCCCTTTAATTGCAGTTTAGATCTTTTGTATTTAATATGATTATTAATGACTAGGTCAAAATCTATCTTCTTACTTTTGTTTTCTATTTGTCTATTCTGTTCTTTTTTCTTCTTGTCCTCATTTGCTGCCTTTTTTTGAATTATGTGAATTTAAAAATTTTTATATATTTCCACCATTGTCTCTCTATATCCTTTTGTTTGATTTTCTTTTGGGGGGTATTGCTCTAAAGGTTAGAGTATGCATTTTTAACTTATCATAGTCTACTTTCAAATAATATTTATACCATTGCATGTATAATGTAAGAACTCTTCCAGTATTATATTTCTATTTGTCTTCTCCTATCTTTTGTGATATTATTTTGATATATTTTACTTTTGCCTATGCTATAAACCCCATAATACAATTATTTTTGTTTTTAAATATATTTTAAAATGAGAAAGAAGTGTCTTTTATATTTACTCTCACATGACCATTCAGATGATTTTCATTTTGTTTTTTAGATTCAAATCTCCAAGTGACCCCATATTTCTATAGCCTGAAGAATTTTGGATTTTTGTTTGTTTGTTTGAACATTTCTTTTTGTGTAGGTTGCTGATGATGAGTTCTTTCAGCCTTTTTTGTATGCAGGGGATGTGGCCCCAGGACCCCCAAGCAGATACCAAAATCTACAGATGCTCAAGTCACTTTATTTCAACTTCATTTTGAAAAAGATTTTTGCTGACATAAAATTCTACATTGACAATTTTTAAATTTCAGGACTTTAAAGGTACTATCCACTATCTTTTAAAAAATTTTGGCAATTTTATTAGGAGTCTACGGTAATTCTTATCTTTATTCCTCTATGTATAATGTGTCTTTTTGTTTTCTGGATGCTTTTACTATTTTATCATTATCAGTGATTTTCAGTAATTTGATCATGCTGTGCCTTAGTGCCATTTTTGTTGTTGTTATTTATTATGACTCGGGTTCACTTACAGTCTCAGATTTGTAAGAATATAGTTTTCATTAAATTTGAGAAATTTTGGGGTTTTTTTTGAGACGGAGTTTCACTCTTGTTGCCCAGGCTGGAGTGCAATGGCGTGGTCTCGGCTTGGCGCGATCTCGGCTCCCCGTAAACTCTGCCTTCCAGGGTTCAAGCAATTCTCCTGCCTCAGTCTCCTGAGTAGCTGGGATTACAGGCATGCGCCACTATGCCAGGCTAATTTTGTATTTTTAGTAGAGACGAGGTTTCTCCATGTTGGTCAGGCTGGTATTGAACTCCCAACCTCAGGTGATCCGCTCGCCTCGGCCTCCCAAAGTGCTGGGATTACAGGCGTGAGCCACCGCACCCGGCCCTCCCCACCCCTCTTTATTACTTTCTATGGAACTCCAATTACCCATATGCTATACTGCTTTATATTTTTCTATAGGTCATTGAGATTTTTTATTTTTCAGTCTTTCTCTTCTATGTGCTTCAATTTTGTATAGTTTCCGTTGCTGTGTCTTCAGGTTCACTTATTTTTTCTACTGTAGTGTCTAAACTCCCATTAATTCTTTTTTTAAAATGATTTTTATTTTTATTTTTTTTGAGATGGAGTCTTGCTCTGTCGCCCAGGCTGGAGTGCAGTGGCACGATCTCGGCTCACTGCAAGCTCCGTCTCCCAGGTTCACGCCATTCTCGTGCCTCAGCCTCCTGAGTAGCTGGGACTACAGGTGCCCGCCACCGCACCCGGCTAATTATTTTTATTTTTATTTTTAGTAGAGATGGGGTTTCACCATGTTAGCCAGGATGGTCTCGATCTCCTGACCTCGTGATCCACCCGCCTCGGCCTCCCAAAGTGTTGGGATTACAGACGTGAGCCACCGCGCCCGGCTAAACTCCCCTTAATTCTATCTAGTGGAAGTTTTATGTCAGATAGTGTAATTTTAATCTCTAGAATTGCCATTTGCTTCTTTTTTGATGCGTTTTATTTCTCTCCCCATTATATTCATCTTTTTGTAAGCCCTTGAGCATGTTGATCACAGTTAGAACTCTTTAAACATTCTTATGTTAATTCAATCATCTCTTTAATTTCCGGGTCTGTTTCCATGGACTGATTGCCCTACTGGTTATTAGCCACGTTTTCCTACTCCTTTATGTGTTCAGTAATATTTTATTGGAGTCTGGCCATTGAAGAATTTTATATTTTTGAGTGCCGTAAATATATGTATTCCTGTTAAGAGTTTCATACTTTGTTCTGCCCCTGATTTATGTTGCCCAGCTTACTTTTCAAGAGTTTACTCTTTAAGCTTTTTTAGAGCAAAGGCAGAGGTAGACTTCCATGTCAGGCCATTCCCCACTACTAAGACATTAGCCTCTTGGGGTATTTACTTAACACTCAGTGTATTCAAGTAATTTTCTTCCTTTTGGCTTTGAGAACTGAAATGATTCCCTGACTTGTATGAACTCTTGGGATTTTTCAGATTTTGCTTCCCTGGTAGTAGGTCTTTGCCTAAAAGTGCTTTGCCCAAACTTGTAGAGCTTTACCGTACCCATGACTAGATTAGCATTCAAAGCCGCAAGGGGAACACTTGTGCAGACTTCTTTCTTTTTTTTGAAATGGAGTTTCGCTCTTGTTGCTTAGGCTGGAGTGCAATGGCGTGATCTTGGCTCACTAAACCTCTGCCTCCCGGGTTCAAGCAATTCTCCTGCCTCAGCCTCCCAAGTAGCTGGGATGACAGGCACCTGCGACCACGCCCAGCTAATTTATTTCATTTTTAGTAGAGACGGGGTTTCACTATGTTGGCCAGGCTGGTCTCCAACTCCTGACCTCAGGCAATCCACCCGCCTCAGCCTCCCAAAGTGCTGGGATTACAGGCGTGAGCCACCACACCCGGCCCCTTGTGCAGATTTCTGAAGCTCTTCCCTGCATAGCACCCTCCTAATATATTGCCCTCCAAATTCTAGTCTCTTGGCCTCCTCAAACTTTGATTTTTGTCTCTTCAATGCAATAACACCTTTGGGTTCTTTTGGGGCTCCACCTCCCTGTGCCACAGCCTAGAAACTGATTCCAGGCAGAACGCTATTGTAATCATTGGGCTCACTGCATATGCTTCCTTTCTTCTTGAAATCATAGTCCAGTGCTGCCTGTTTTCCCATGTTTGAAATCATTCCATATATTTTGTCCAGTGTCTTATTTGCTTATTGTAAAAAGGTAAGTCTGGATCCTGTTACTCTCTCATGGCCAGTAATGGAGGTTTGCCATTTTAATCATAATAAATTTTATTTATTTACTGCATTTAACAAACATTTATGGAATATCTACCGTGAAGAGCCCAGAAACAGGGAAAAATGATTCAGACTAATGCTTATACAATTAAAAAGTTACAATATTGTGGTAGCTTTTAAGTATGACCCCAAAATTCTTTGACACTCTTTCCACCAAGAGGTAAATTTTATTTCCTCTTCCCTTAAGTGTAGATGCTGTGACTGCCTGTCCAAAAGAACATGACTGAAATGATGCTGTGCTTATTTCCTAGCCCAGGTCTTAAGAAACTGGCAGTTTCCCGGCTCTTGCAATACTCAGTTGTATGCCCATCCAACACACTGAGAGGAACCAAGCAGATACATAGGAGCTCCCATGTAGTTGTTCTGGTTGGTAACCCCAATGACTCAGTCAACTGCTAGGACCAACTGCCAGACATATAACTGAGCAAACTTTGAAATGACTGTAGCCCTGGCTGTAGTGATTCCAGCCTCTGAGCTACCACCGCTGAGACTGTGTGGTCCTGGCTAAGTTCTAACCAAATTTCTGTTTGTAAGCAGAAGAAATGATTGTTGTTGCCCTAAGATGCTAAATTTGCAATTTGCAGTGCTTAATTTTTTTTTTTTTTTTTTTTGAGATGGAGTTTCGCTCTTGTTGCCCAGGCTGGAGGGCAATGGTGTGATCTCGGCTCACTGCAACCTCCACCTCCCGTGTTCAAGCGATTCTCCTGCCTCAGCCTCCTGAGTAGCTGAGATTACAGGTATGCGCCACCATGCCCAGCTAATTTTGTATTTTTAGTAGAGACAGGGTTTCTCCATGTTGGTCAGGCTGGTTTTGAACTCCCGACCTCAGGTGATCTGCCCCCCTCGGCCTCCCACAGTGCTGGGATTACAGACGTGAGACACCGTGCTCAGGTATAATAGACACCTGTAACACATACCATACCATTAAGTGCTATATAATAGAGGTAGTCAATTAACAAATGGATTAACAAATATTTATTATGTGCCTATTACTAGTCAGGTACTGAGTCAGGAAAGGCTTTTAAGAAGCAAAATCTAAGCGGAAGTTTAGAGGAGATCTAGGACCTAAATAGAGTAAGAGCAGGAAAAGCAGAAAGAGTTGCTTGTTTGAAGATACAAAAAGCATGGGGGCGAATGCTAGTAGTTCAGAAAGGCTAACGTAGAGGGTAGGAGAAAAAAAACTGCGAAGAGATGAGTTACTGAGAGGTCAGTTCATTAAGGAGGTAATGCTAAAGAAGGGGGGTTTAATCCTGAAGGTAAGGCTACTCTGCACACTTGTAATCATACAATTAATTTAATTTTTTATTTAATGACTATCTTCCCCAAAGGCTGTACTCCAAAAAGGCTAAATCTCACAGAGCTTTTATCCCTATAATTCCAGCATCTAAAATGTTACCTGGCACACGTGGGAGTTAATACATATTTGCTGAATGACTGAGTAACTGAAGAAACCCTATAAGAATTTTAAGGAAATGATATATAATCAGATTTGTGTATTAGAAAAATCATTCTGGCGGTAAGACAGAGAATGGTTTAGAGGTAATAGCTGTATTAGCTAGCTTAGGCTGCCATAACAAAATACCAGAGTGAGTGACTTATACAACAGAAATTAATTTTCTTGCCGTTCTAAAGGTTGGAAGTCTGAGATCAGGGTACCAGCATGGTTGGGTTCTGGCGAGGGCTCTCTTACTGGCCTGCAGACAGCTGCCTTCTCGCCACATCCCCACATGGCAGAGAGAGGGAGAGACAGCAAGCAATCCAGTGTCCTTCTTATAAGGGCACTAATCCCATTAGCAAGGCCGCAGCCTCATGACCTCATCTAACTCTAATTATCTCCCAAAGATTCTGTCTCCAAATACCATCACATTGGGCATAAGGGCTTCAATATTTGTATTTTTGAGGATACAATTCAGTCCACAGCTGTAGGAAAGGAGAAAAGACAGCAGGAGGTGAATGTAGTAACTTGCCTAAGAGATGAGGGTATAAACTAAAGTAGTGACAATGCAGAGGAAGAGGAAAGACTGAGAAATAGTAATCATTCCTACTTGGGCTGGAATTATTAAACTGTTAAAAACCTTCCTAGGATATTCTTTTTCCTGAATTTGAAAATTATAGACTTTTTCGTGTAGTAACTCTATTTGCACACCAGTTTTTTGTTTTTTGTTTTGTTTTTTTGTTTGTTTTTTTTGTTTTTTGAGACAGAGTCTCTCTCTGTCGCCCAGGCTGGAGTGAAGTGGCCCGATCTCGGCTCACTGCAACCTCCATACCCCAGGTTCAAGCGATTCTCCTGCCTCATCCTCCTGAGTAGCTGGGATTACAGCTGCCCACCACCACGCCCAGCTAAGTTTTTGTATTTTTGGTAGAGACCGAGTTTCGCCATGTTGGCCAGGCTGGTCTCAAACTCCTGACCTCAGATGATCCACCTGCCTCAGCCTCCCAAAGTGCTAGGATTACAGGCATGAGCCACCACACTTGGCCAGTATTTTTGTTTTTAATGTAGATGAATTTTCAAAATCAAACTGAGAATAAAGGGATATAACATTTAACAAACAACCACAGAATTTATTAAACATACAACATTACAGAAACATTTTAATATGCCATTGATATGTAGTCTTCAAAACGTTTTAAAAACTGTGGTAATACTAAAAGTGAAACTCATAGAATTTCAGTATTTTAAAGGGATAATAAGGGACGTTAACCACAAAATACAAAGCATTTCACTTTTTATGTTTGTCTTTTAAGTTAAATATTAAAAATTTTATATTTAAAAAATGTTTATTATTTATACAGCACATTAATCATCGAGACCCCCCTGCCCCCACAGCTAAAGTCATTCTAGGTCAGAATGCACGGATACTGCTCTCAATACTAGTATGTATTACTCCCAGTGCACACATATTGATAATCAAGGCTTGAACAGTTTGTGCCCTGGCTTATTGCTGGCAACAGAGTAATTCAGTCCGGAGTACAGAACATGTACAAATGCATTTTCATCAATATCTGGCTCTGATACACCCAGTCTGAGCCACCAATATCTGGCTCAGGCACTTATGATAATGGCCCAAGACACTGCTCAGGATCTTAAGGTAAACAAGTTGTCACCTAATTCTGTCAGCCCAGCAATCAAAGCACATTTTTGAGAGGGAATGTTCTGACTTCCGTATCAGTCGTGATATTTCCGAATAATTCTATACTTGTCATAATGAAACACAAGCACGCTTTTGGTATTGGCCCTTCAAAACATTAAGAAACTGGTGGTACCAACATACCATTTTTGACATTGTTGTATTTTAACATTTTTTCTGCTTTTGAAAGGAATACACGCTCATCATTAAAATATTTTGAATAATAAAATGCACAAAGAACAAAAACATTGTCTAGAATCTTGCCACTCAGAGACAATCATGTCATAATATTCTCATGTATTTCCTTTCAGATTTTTAAAATTGTGGGCATTTGTAATTTTATAAGGTTTGTAACTTCCTTCTGAAAACTTGTGTATTCAGATGTCTATGTAAATATGAATCTGTATTATGCACCTTAAATGGCTGTGTAGTTTTCACATCTTATGTACTATGATTTAACTGACCAGTGTAAATTACAGTGATCAGTTACACTTATTTAGTGCTTACTCTATGCCAGGCACTGTAATAAGCGTTTTGCTTGTACTAATTCATTTGATCCTCACAACCCTATTATTCCTGTTTCTTACACATGAGGAAACTGAGACACCAAGAGGTGAAGCAATTTGTCCAATCACTCAATGTGGGACATTTAATGGCTGGCAATGCTTTGATCCTTTAGACAATGTTGCCATGTATACCTTTGTTCATGTTTTAAAAGAATGTCTTTAGGATTAATTTGCCGAAATGGAATTGCTGGGTCCTAAGGTTTTAAAAATTTTTTTACATGCTTCCAAATATTTCCCTTAGGAAGATTATACAGTATTTACACTTCATCCAACAGTATGTGAGTGTCTGACTCCTCACATCCCTGATTCTTTGCAATTTTTTTCTTTTTTTGAGACGGAGTTTCGCTCCCGGGTTCAAACGATTCCCAGCCTCAGCCTCCCGAATAGCTGGGATTACAAGCGCGCACCACCACGCCCGGCTAATTTTTTGTACTTTTAGTAGAGACGGGGTTTCACCATGGCCAGGCTGGTCTTGAACTCCTGACCTCAGGTGATCTGCCGGCCTCGGCCTCCCAGAGTGCTGGGATTACAGGCGTGAGCCACCGCGCCCGGCCGATTCTTTGTAATTTTTACCTAAATGACAAAACATTATCTAACTGCTACTTTAATTTGCACATTTCACTTTTAGAGGTGGGACTTCATTTTTAATGAATTTTTAAGCACTCTTTGATTACTATGTATTAATCCTGTGTTGACATGTCAATATTAGTTTCCACGCTACATTTGGAGATGCCGTAATTTGCGGGATAATTTCCATTTACGTACAAGATGTGCTTACTAAGTTTGTTCCAAGTGGGACGCAACATCTCTAGTAGATGCTCCTTAAAACTTCTCCATCACACAGAGAATAATTTTTATTGGTTAACTAAACTTATAAGTAAAATAAATAAACCAACATTTTGGGTTGCTAGGAATCACTCACTGATCAACTTTTAGCTCCAGTTTTTTTCTGTTTTCTTTTTTTTGCTCAGTCTAGGGAGGCTATCTTGGGCTGTGAAAGACATGTCACCAACCATCACAGCTGCTGAGTGATTGCACGGTTAGTCAGTAGGTGCCAACGCCCTGCTAGAAGAGCTGTCTGCAGATTCCAAAGCCGGGCGTTCAGGGACTCCCGGGAAGGAGCCAGCGTTACCTCAGCCTCTCCGAGGGACACGCGCGCCCTGAACACTCCCCTCTTGGGATTCAGGCCAATTCGTTCAGCTCCCATGACTTCATCCGAGCAAGTTTGTCACCTCACGCAGCTAATTAAACTGTTTACCTAGAAGATGATCCAAAGGAATTTCCATTTCCTTCCAGAGGGAATACAAGGTTATGATAACCGAGAGAGCGAGAGGAAAAAAGGCGCACAGCTCGACCCGAACTCAACCTGCTTTCTTTCTCCTGGCTCTCCCAGTCACTCCTGGGGTTGTTAGTAGGCTTCAGCACGCCTGAAGGACCCCGTCCTACGGAGACTCCTAGCCAAGGGAAAAGCAGAAAACACAAGAACTAATTCCACTCTTATGTGTGACTAATTAAAAGAGGAGTCAGGCAGAGGGGACTCCCTGTTCAGCCTTTACCGATGGGGCAGGCTCGGGGCAGCTTTGAGACAGGCAGCGCCAAGGTCGCCCAGATTCCCGACAAGCTCCGCGCGGGGGCTTCCTCGGCTCCTTGCTGTTGCCGCCGCCGCAGCTGCTGCCGCGGTTGGTGGGGTTGGGTGAGAGGAGGAGCTGTCGCGGACCCTGTAGAGTCGGTCTCTGTTGCTCTTTTTGCCTGAGGAGTCTTCCATCCTACGTCGAGCTCTGACTCCCGTGCTGTCGAGAGGGAGTCCCCGGGGACACCTCGGCACGCAGCGGAGATGCCTCTTTTTGCCACCAATCCCTTCGATCAGGATGTTGGTAAGTGTTTTTGCCTCTCCCTGCCCATTCCTCACCGGACTGCACGCTCACTCTGCCAGCCCCTGCCTGCATTCAGGACCCTCGGGCCAGGGCCAAGGAAGAGCTCGCTCTTCCCCTTTCCTGAGGCTCCCTCCTTCAGAGCTGGGAGGAGGTTGAGGGCTTGGCGCATCCTCTTTGAAAGAAATGGGACTCATCCTGTGAAATGGGCCTTGAGCTAGGACTGTAGGTTGCCAAAGAACTGCTGAATGGGTTGGTGTAAAGGGCCTGGGAGGAGCAGCTGGTGTAGCATCTGGTGCAGGGACTGTGCTTCTGGAAGAACAGCGAAGGGCTTAAGGCGTATGTTGGCTAGATTAGGATTGTAAACCCTGTACCAAAAGTGCTTGCCTAGACAAATAAATGTTGAGCGTCTGGAACTGGCAGAATGTTTTAGGTAAGGTTCCTTAGAGGATTTTAAAATCTTTTGTAACGGTAACTGAAGGAGGGAGCTCTGGTTAAGGGTAGACTCTCAAACATGTTAGGAGCGATGAAGATGAAATACTTGGCAACGACTGAAACCGAATTGAGGACCTGAGCCTTTGGGATGTCTCTCTTAGGCTAGGTCTCTGCACTTTAAAAGGTGTAAAGAAGTGTGGAAGAAGTTGTTGAATCTGGAAAGAGTTTGAAATGCTACATTTTTGTTGTTTTCTGAATCACTGGTATTAGGTACTGATGATGTCAATTCAATAGGTTTGCTTTTGGTTTTTAATTTTATTTTATTTTATTTTTTTCTGACTTGAAGATAATAATTATGGGAATTTGAGTTTCCGGGGAGAGAATTTTGGTTTAATTTGAACGCACGTAGGAACTACCTTGGCACACAAGTGTGGAATGAAAGCAAGCCAAATACCATTTCCAAATCCCTTATGGCAGAATGTAATCATTACTGTGAATAAGGACAACCTTATGAATTTACTTGTCTTTGTGTATTTTAATTATGAAAGGTGGATGTTGAATTTTTCTTTTTAAACTCTTCCTTAGAGCATGTCACTGAAACTTGGAAGTTTATATAAGAGTAGAAAAAAGTTCACTCCTTACCTCTGCCACTTCTCAGCTCACGGTGAAATCATAGGCAAGTTAAATTCTTTGAGTTCCAGTGTTCTTGTCTTTAAAGAGGGGAAAACACATCATTCCATTCTGCAGTTAAATAATATGTCTAGAGGGCCTGCTACAGTACCTTTATGTGGTTGGCACTTACTAGATGCTACCTTTTTTGTTCCACCTTAAATGAGTGTCCTGAATCTTAGCAGTGGACAGAACCTTGGAGATCACCGATTATACTTAATGAATTGGAAAATTGCATTTAATTTAATAAGCAGTTAGCACACACTACAGGACACAGCAGCTCAGTGACATAAGAGATACAGTGATGAGCAAGGCCTAGTTGCTGTTCTCAAGCAGTTTTACATCTCACTACATGAATCTCTAGGGGAAATACTTAAAACAGCTTCTTAATACTTGCTTCTTCTGTTTACAGCACCTTTGTCTAGTTTTCTTGGTCCTGTATAATTTAGCTAGCAACTACCCAATCACCTTTATATTCTACTGACTTTGTGAACACATATTTGCATTGGATTCAGGTAAATTTCTTAATGTCAAACCCGTTCCTAGTAGCTGTACCACCCAGTTCAAACACAGGCACCTTCTTGCCTTTATGCTTTTGTCCTACGCTTATGCTTTCTTTTATCTTTCAACATATCCTTGTGTGTTAAGGCCAACTCAGAATCCAACTTGTTACACCTGAGTCATTTCCTGATTACTGTAGCAAAGGGTTTCTCAGTAGCAACGTTATTGACGGTTTGGGCCAGGTAAATATCTTTGTCATAGGAGTTTGTCCTGTGCAATGTAGGGTGTTCAGCCTTATCCCTGGCCTTTATCCACTAGATGCCGGTGACACCCAGCCCCCACTCATGATTTTAGAAGTCTCAGGACATTGCTAAATGCCCCCTGGAAGGACAAAATACCTCCCAGTTGAGAACCGCTGCACTAGTCCACTCTAATTTCCACCTTCTTACAAAATCCTCTAACTTATTTTAGCATTTTTGCCTTTACCGAATTATTTAGCATTCAAGATAGTTTTATACTCCTTAATGAGAGGTTGCTACATAGGAGGTGTTTAATAATGTTTGTTGAGTTGAGAATGTGTCAGTTGAGCCTGCCAGACATTATACTTCTTCAGTGTAGCAACATTGTTTTGCTCCAGAAAAGCTTACTTTTTAAAGTTGCTCAGGTTTTGGTATTGGACCAATTCTCTTCTCACAATCCTTGTATTGAAATATTACAAAAGGTTTATCTAAGAAGACCCCTCAGAGATTCCCAGTACATAAGCCTTGCACAGAGTCCAGTAGACTCATATTATTTTTTAATAGTATAACATATAGAATACAGTGTATAGAATACACTTAACAATTTTTTCTTTCACCATATCTACCAATGAATATGTCATAACATTAAAGTAACTCATTTGATACAGTTATTTATCACTTAACACTCGTATACATTTGCACATCTTCAAAATTAATTGTCTTCAGTCTTAATCTGAGGCTGAATCAGAAATTCACTGACTGATTTATATAATATAACATTTTTTATAAAGAGACACAATGCTGGTGATAGCTTTTCCCTTGGAAGAAACACCGAAAGATGTTACTAGAATGTGAGCTCTGTGAGGACAGGGATTTTTGTTTGATTTTTTCACTGCCGTATCCCTAGCTGTAGACCAGTTTTTGGCATGCTGAAGAACTTTCAGTAAACATTTATGGAATAAATGAATCTCATTTTGGACATTATAATTCAAGAGCTGAATTTAGAAGAAACGTAAAGATAACTTATTTCATCAAGTTTGTATTTCAAAGTCTCTAGTGACTTCCACCTTGCCAAATCCAATGGTCACTTTCTAGTCCATTTCTTTTTTGATCTCTTAAGCATTCCTCTTTGATATACAGTATTTTATTCATGGGATTTCAGGACACCAAACTTTTTCTCATTTTCTACTTAGCTCCTTTTAAATTTTTTTGCTTCCCCTTTTTGCAACTTCTAAAAGTTGAGTGCCCTGCGGCTCAGTTCCGGAGCCTCTTCTCTCCTTCCACTTTTTTTTTTCCCTTAGAGTATTAGGAAGCAATTTAGCTTAGTGTTAAGAATTCAGACTGGGGCCACACTGCTTGGATTCAGTCCCAGGTTTGCTGCTTACCGGTAGTGTGATTTTTGGCCTAGTTGCTTAGATAATCTGTGTCTCAGTTTCCTTATCTTTAATATGGAATATAAGAGTAATAATAGTTCTTACCTCAGAGAGTTGTTAAGAGGGTTGAGTTAATATTTGTAAAGCACTTAGAAAAATTTCTGTACTTTTTATTAAGTAAGATTTTAAAAAGAACCTCATCTAATTTCTTAGCTTTAAATACCTAGCGTATTCTGGTGACTCCTGGATTTATGTTCTTACTCTCAGCCTCTTGCCTGAGCTCTCGACCTAGATATCCATCTCCTTACTGAGCATCTCCATTTGGATTCTGCTTAGAGTCTAAAAACAAACATTCAAAAACTCAATTCTTAGTTCTTTGCCCAAACCTGCTCATTCCTTCATCCTTGCCCTTCTCAGTAGACGACAACATGATTACTGTTTCCTGTCACTGAGCTCCAATGTCTAGGAGTATCACTGATTCTTCTTATTTCTTCACACTTCACATTCATCCTATCAGCAAGATATTTTGGCTGTACTTTAAAAATATATCCAGAATTTCATTGACAGGTGAAACTAGCTGGACTTCCTGGGTCAAGTGGGGACTTGGAGAACTTTTCGGTCTTACAAGGGGATTGTAAAATGCACCGATCAGTGCTCTGTAAAAACGCACCAATCAGTGCTCTGTAGCTAGCTGGAGGTTTGTAAAATGCACCAATCAGTGCTCTGTAGCTAGCTAGAGGTTTGTAAAATGGACCAATTAGCACTCTGTAAAATGAACCAATCAGCAGGACATGGGCGGGGACAAATAAGAGAATAAAAGCTGGGCACCCTAGCCAGCAGCAGCAACCGGCTCGGGTCCCCTTCCATGCTGTGGAAGCTTTGTTCTTTCACTCTGCACAATAAATCTTGGTGCTGCTCACTCTTTGGGTCCGTGCTACCTTTAAGAGCTGTAACACTCACCACAAAGGTCCGTGGCTTCATTCTTGACGTCAGCGAGACCACAAACCCACCAGAGGGAACAAACTCCGGACACATCATCACCTTTTTCTGTCTCACCATTCTTACCTTACTTCAGTCATTGTTATCTCTTATAGTCAGTGGCAAGAGCCTTCTGGTAGGTTTCTTTGTTACCACTCTTGCCTCTACAATCAGTTCTCATTTACAAAGGTCAGTGATCTTTTAAAAATGTTAGATAATGTCAGTTACCTGCTCAGAGTTCTCTGGTAGCTTCCTATCCTACTTAAAGGGAAATGCAAGTTTTTTTATTGTGGCTCACAATATGGCTTCTTCCTGTGTGTCTGATATGATTATGATCTCCAGACTCACTCTCTTGAATTCCAGGCTTCTTAAATCTGAACGCTCCAAGCTCATTCCTGCCTCTGTAGCTATATGGTACTCTTTGCCTGGGATACTCCTCACCCAGGTATTTGAAGGTCTGGATATTCATCACACCCATTCAGGACTCTGTTCAAACGTCATTTTCTGAGACGCTTTACCTAATAATCTTCTGTAAAAAATATCCTTCTTGGGCTGAATGCAGTGGCTCACGCCAGTAACCCCTACACTTTGGGAGGCTGAGGCAGGAGGATTCCTTGAGGCCAGGAATTGGAGACCAGTCTGGGCAACATAATGAGACCCTGTCTCTACAAACAATAAAAAAGTTAGCTGGCATGGTGGTATGCCTGTAGTCCCATTTACTCGGGATGCTGAATCCAGAGGATTGGTTGAGCCTGGGAGGTCAAGGCTGCAGTGAGCTATGACTGCACTCTTGCCTGGGCAAGAGAGTGAGACCCTGTCTTTAAAAAAAAAAAAAAAAGAATTAAAAAAAATGCATCTTTACCCTCTCACTCTGTTTCTTTGTTCCATTTCTTTTTCTTTATAGTACTTAGTGACCTGACATTAATTGATTGATTATCTTTTGTGTGGAATATAAACTCCATTAAGATGAGAACTTTTCATTTTTTTTCCCCTAATACTTTAGGGATAGTGTCTGGTACATAGAAAGCACTCAAGAATTATTTATCAAATAATGAATTATTGGTGTTTTTCTAGAACATTAGTCTTGTATTTCTATTTGCTGTTCTTTTTTCCCTCCAAAACAAATTCATCTGTCAGAAAACTGAAGTTATCTTTCTAAGTCTGGCTCTTCATTCATTATTTGGTAACATTTTTGTTTGTTTTTAAATCTTTTTTTACATTAATATAGATGGGGTTTTGCCATATTGGCCAGGCTGGTCTTGAACTCCTAGCCTCAAGTGATCTGCCTGCCTCAGCCTCCCAAAGTGCTGGGATTACCGATGTGAGGCACCCGGGCCCAGCCAATTTGGTAATATTTTAGTGTTGTAGTTATCTTGACTTGAAACCCAAGAGGCATCTTTGAATCATTTCCCTGCCTCTGCTAAATCATCATATGTCTTTGTTTCTATAATAGAATATTTGTGTTCCCAGTCAGACTGCTTTGGGCCAGTCCACATCCTACATACTTGGACATTTTTTTAGTCTGCTTTGCTTAGTCCAGTCAGCCTCATAAATCATAAGCTAGATGAATCTTAAATGTTAATGTCACATTCTCCTGAAGTGTGATATGATAGAAAGACCTTGGGCTTTGGGCTTAAATTGCACCTGCAGCATTTACTCTTAGTAAATGGACACAATGTATAGTTGGATAGGTATAGGACCCCTTTGAATTCACTTTCTACTTTGGTAAATAGGGATAGCAATATCCATTATACATCATGCGGATGCTATGAGGATTACTTGTGAAAACACATGACATTCTGACTCTTTACCAGAGTTGAATAGGCTTCAAATATCTCAAGTTCAGCATGTTCAAAACCATTTGAAATTTTTCTTCTCAATTATGCTTTTTGTCTGTTTTGATAGTTGGTACCTAAGTTTACTTAGTCATACAAGTCGTGAACTTGGGAGTAATTCTTGACTTCTGTAGTTGTAATTTTCTACATTCTAAACAACAAATGTATCCTGTCTACCCTGTGCCAGATACCCTGGTACCGAATATGCCCTCAAGGATTCCAGGTTTAGATCACCACTCTCTCAGATTAGTACAGTAGCTTCCAGCTGTTCTTCCCTGCTTCCAGTTTTTCCCTAGTTATTTTCCAGATGGCTGATGGTGATATTTTTAAAATGTGAATGTACGCGTGGCCCCTCCGTTTAAAATATTTCTAGAGAGGGCTGGGCGCGGTGGCTCACGCCTATAATCCCAGCACTTTGGGAGGCCGAGGTGGGCGGATTATGAGGTCAGCAGATCGAGACCATCCTGGCTAACATGGTGAAACCCCATCTCTACTAAAAATACAAAAAATTAGCCGGGCGTAGTGGCGGGCGCCTGTAGTCCCAGCTACTCAGGAGGCTGAGGCAGGAGAATAGCGTGAACCTGGGAGGCGGAGCTTGCGGTGAGCCAAGATCACACCACTGCATTCCAGCCTTGGTGACAGAGCGAGAGTCCGTCTCAAAAAAAAAAAAAAAAAAAAAAAAAAAGTTCTGAAGAATCTACCGCTTTCACAGTACTTTGAACTTTTCAGCAGGGCATGTAAGGCCTCTTATATTTGGCTTCTTTGTGACTCTTGAGCCTCACCTTCCACTTTTTTCTTGCAGGTGTATTTCACTCCTTATTGGTTTTATGCCACTGTGCTCTTCAGGTGTGGATCCTCTGGCTTGACATACCTATTTGTTCATTAATCCTCAGTAGGTTTGTTTTGAGGAGATGATGCATGTAAAGCACTTAGCATAGCACCTGGCATGTAGTAACCAATGGATACGTTTTAGCTCCTTTTATAATCAAGTTAGAAATAGATGTGGGGACTATTGGATTCTAAGGTGTGCAATCAGTTACTGTTAAAACATAGGAGAGAAATGTGAAAATTCAGAATACAAGTATGTTAACCATCTGATATCCACTGGATTAAGAACTTGTATTCTTTGATTCTTCTGTCCCTATTTTACCTCTCCTCTAAGCTGTTTTTTCTAATGCCTTTAGGTTATCATTTCTGTTTTATGTTCCTCTCTGAAATGCTTCCATGCTGTTCTTTTGATACCTACTTCTTTTTCTGGTTAGCAGAGCTTCAGATTACATTTCTTTGCAGATACAGTTTCCAGGAGGATCAGGGATATTAGATGAAAGATTTTTGAAGAATTGATTTGCAAAGAGGATAATTTCTTTCAGACTTACTTTTCCATTGGCCATTTTTAATGAACTGTTACATCTTCGGGCTGACTGAATGACAGTCCTTTCCTCACCACCTAAATGTGATGCGAAGTCCTCCTGTCAGCATTTCTTACCTCCCCAGATCTTTGACAGTGATAAATTTTGAGAAAAATCAAAAGTTGCTGCTTATCAGAAAAAGTTCTCTAATCTTTTGAAAAGACTATTGAAATTCAAATGAGGCTCTGTGTATGTTTTTTCTGGGTACTGCTGGGCAGATTTCTCAATCTCCTCTTTTTGAGTATTAGTGTAAGGATATTCTCAGGATAAAATGAGATCATTATGAAGCTTTGAATTCTTTAGAAGCAAGTCTGTTATTTTTGTCACTTTTCCTTTTCCCACAAACCCTGTTTTTGTCTTAGAAAATAAATAGTTTTGACTTCATTTGCTATTCACAGAACCATGTTGTAGGTAGTTTATATCCTTCTGATTAAAAAAAAAATACTTGTTCTTTTATAACTGAGAAGAATTGTGCCACTGATTTTGATGATTTTGAGACAGCCTCAATAAATGATGTGAACAATTTTAGATTTCTGAAGTGGGTTGTGTTTCTGATCCATCCATACAAATATGAATCAGATGCTGATTCTATTTATGTGTAGGAAAGTAATAAAGTAGTTCATGAGTTTTCAACATAATATCTGCTGATAACTGTATCATATGTTCCTGGATGTATCATTAATCAAGAACTGTAAGATAGCACTCAACTATGATAGTAGGCAATTTATATTTGATCAGATAAACTGTTAACTTTTTAATAAGTTTTAATATGCTTAGCTATTATGTTTTTGAATAAGGTGGCAGGTTTTAGAATTTAAGTGTGTTCTTTTAAAAAATGCACTTAAAAAAAAAACAACCTGCTTGGCTACCAGTCAGTGAGAATGATGAATTAATTATTAAAATGCACTACCAGACCAAAGTAATAACATGCTTTCCTTTTCTAAGATGAAGTAAGTGATATTGTTCAGAATGACTCACTCAATATTCTTGGGCTTTAGAGGGGTTGAGTACCTAGGGAGCAGGCTCTGGGACTCCTCAATCAGAGCACTTCCACTTGGGTTTGCTGTATATATTGGGTTTCTTTTAAGATAAAATTCTCTTATAGTGTTGAATGATAAATAATTTGACTAGTCTTTGTTTCCTAGGAGACAGCCTCTAAATCCTTGGAATTTTCTGAGTGATAAGAGCATCTTTGTTATTTTTGGTGGGCCCCTGGGATAATAGCTTAGTTTATGCTAATAAGATGACTTGGTCTGGGGGCTGGCCACTCCAGAAGGACTAACCATGTGATTAAAGGATTTGGGCTTTGAGTCATAGGACCTCCTGGGAAGGATAGGGACCTGGAGATTAAGTTCCACTGTGTGGTCCTATTTCATAAATCATACCTATATAATGACACCCCAATTGTAGAATCCATGAAGGTACATTTCCCAGTCCATCGAAACCTACACTGAAAAACCGAATATTCCGCGATAAAAACTGGAAACAAGCTATTTGTGAAAATGCTTTGTGATGTGTGGATTCATCTCACAGAGTTAAATGTTTGTTTTGGTAAAACAGGTTGTTTTGATAAAACAGGATAAAAACTCTGAACACTGAAGCTCAGTTAAGCATTCTGGTAGGTGATACACATTGTGGTGATACACACTGATGTATTTGGAGGGTGATGAAGCTTCCTAGCACAGAAGCTTTATGTTTGGAACCCTCCCAGATCTAGCTCCATACAGGTGGTTGTTTGTATCTGGGGGTCTGCATTCATGGATTCAAACAACAGTGGATCAAAACTTGTAGAGGAAAAAATATCATGTCTGTACCGAACACATAGAGACATTTTTCTTGTCATTATGCCCTATACAGTATAGTTATTTACATAACATTTACATTGAATTAGGCATGATAAGTGATCTAGAGAAATTAAAGTATATAGGAGGATGTGCAAAGGCTTTATGCAAATTCAATGCCATTTTATATTAGGGACTTGAGCATCCATACATTTTGGTATCTGTGGAAGATCCTGGAACCAATCTCCCATGTATACCAAGAGACAACTGCGTATCTCTATTGGCTGGTCCTGGTTTGTGTTTTTTGTGATAAAACTCTAATTGTAAGTATAGTACTTTCTATGTGAGTTGCTATGGTGAATTATCAATCCTGAAGGGTAGTGGGAACTTCCAGTTTGTATCCAGTTGGTCAGAAGTGCCTGGGGACCCCAGAGCTTGTGTCTGAGGTTTGAAGTGAAGGGAGTCTTATGGAGAGCTGTGTCTTCAACCTGTGAAGTCTTTGCTGACTGGGTAGTTAGCATCAGAAGTATGCTAGCCCTCTGGGTAGTTAGCAGTGCATTGTAGAGGGTTTCTGCATTTGAAAGTTAAGTTTGAAAACCATTAAACCAGGTATTATTGTTATTATTATTATTATTATTATTTTTGAGACGGAGGCTTGCTCTGTCACCCAGGCTGGAGTGCAGTGGCATGATCTCAGCTCACTGCAAGCTCCACCTCCCAGGTTCACGCCATTCTCCTGCCTCAGCCTCCCAGGTAGCTGGGACTACATGCGCCCACCACCAAGCCTGGCTAATTTTTTGTATTTTTAGTAGAGATGGGGTTTCACTGTGTTAGCCAGGATGGTCTCTATCTCCTGACCTCGTGATCCGCCCACCTCGGCCTCCCAAAGTGCTGGGATTACAGGCGTGGGTCACCGCGCCCGGCTAAACCAGGTATTATTTAAGGTCAATGTGTTACTATGACTTTTTGTGGCTTCATATTGCAGATACATGAGTAGTCTTATCATTTTTTTGAGCACTTAGACTGAGAGCATGGTTATTGAAATAATTCCCCAAAGTAAACCTTATTATTTTCAAGGGATTTACAATATATTACCAAAACTTGAGCAATGATAGGTAAATTTGAGCTAGTTCTCCTCTTTTCCCTCTTCCAAACTGCTTTTACATATTGGTGATAGATTAATATTTTTCAAAAAAGTCTAGGTCTTGTTGTTTTATTTCCTTATTTGGAACTCTTGGCATTCTGATGTTTCTTGAAGCAGTGCAAACACCTGAGATAGTATTTTAGGTCTTAATGTTGTTCTCTTATTATTCCAAATTTTCACAAAGTAGTCTGTATTTCAGCCAGCCTAGATTCTTCATTATACTTCTTTTCTGTTTTGATGACTTTACTTTTTACTTTATTCACTTAATTAGAAACAGATTAATTCATTATTCTGTCCTCTTCTTATTTTCTAAATACATCGGGAAGCCCTTCCTGATTCTCCTCTTCTCTCTCTCCAGGATCTTTACCTGTCTTTCAATTTGCTTTGGGCTTTGCATTATTTGAAACCCTTTCAATCTTAAATCTAAGTCTATCTGCTGGTTTCATTTCCTTTCTTAGATTGTAAGCTACTTCTGGTAGGGTATGGCGTGGACTAGAAGGCTATTCCATTTTGCTGAATATGTGTTCAAATTTTATAATTGCCTGCAAGTAAATCGCTTTATTGAGATCATGAATTGTTTGGATCTTTGTATTAATTCTTATGCAAGGAATTAATCTGTGTGAATAACCTGCTTTTGCTATCTTCTATGTTAGAAGATTTTAGGGTAGCTAGGTAGGTACCCTACCTAACCAATACCTATTGGTTATTATCCACTTGGTCTTTACTAGATGCTTATTTTAGTTGTCCGGTGGTAGTGACTAACTAGCAGGTGATGCTGTGATATATAGCAGGTATTATACACCTGTAAAATATTTGGTCAGAGTTGACTGCTTTTTATTTTCTGCGATTAAACTCACTTGACGTACTTCTGCTCTCAGTAGTAGGTCAAAATGAGGAAATAAGTGTACTCTGTTGATCTAGGCAACAGGGCATGGAGGAGAGTATGGAAACAAGAATTTCATTATCACTTGGTCAAGACCAACCATTACAGATAAGAATCTTGGTATGAGTCATTTCCACTGTCCCCCCAACCCATCTGTGTTTAAAAAATGGAGACTGCTATTGAAGATCTTGGTGATGTTATCTTTCAGCATATCTGCTCTTTGAATTGCAGTGTTCCAGTCAAGACTGGTTACCCTCTGCTTCTGTACAGCTGTTGTTTTGAAATATAATGATTTTTTTAAAGTTTTTTTTCCTCCTACGTGTGTATTCTTTTTCTCTTAAGTTGCTTTTTTCTTTTTCTTTTTTTGGTCTTTTTCTTTATCTTCCACATTAGAAGGTAGTTTCCTCACGCCTGCAATCCCAGCACTTTGGGAGGCCAAGGTGGGTGAGTCACCAGGTCAGGAGATTGAGACCATCCTGGCTAACACAGTGAAACCCGTCTCTACTAAAAATACAAAAAAATTAGCTGGACGTTGTGGCATGTGCCTGTAGTCCCAGCTACTCAGGAGGCTGAGGCAGGAGAATTGCTTGGACCTGGGAGGTGGAGGTTGCAGTGAGCCGAGATCGCACCACTGCACTCCAGCCTGGGTGACAGAGCGAGACTCCGTCTTAAAAAAAAAAAAAAAAAAAAAGATAGTTTCAGATAGCTTGCTTGTTTGCCCATGGCTAATACTGGAGAAATCAAAAGCACATTGGAAGTTCTGATCATGTGGTTAGGTCTCATTGACTTTTAACTTCACTGTAGGTTGGTCTGGTGGGCCATTGACTATGGAATTCTGCCTCTCCACTCCTCCCCCTGCAATATTACTGTCTTTAGGTCTTTCCTCTTGGGCTGACATAGAGCCCCCAGAAAAGAGTCTTCTGATTTCTTGGAGGGTAACGGTACAAATGTTGAATCAGCCTTGCATACCTGGGATGAATCTTAATTGGTCATGGCATATGTAATTCTTTTTATACATTGTTGGATTCAGTTTGCTGATGTTTTTGTAATCGGTGGAAGGTATCTGAGTTACTGGCAGTGAGTCTGTATGGGTCTGCACCAATCTCAGTTCTTGCCTCCTCAGAAGAAAGAATTCATCTAAGGGGCGTAAGGCAGAAAAAGAGATGAAGCAAGTTTCAGAGCAGGAGTGGAAGTTTATTAAAAAGCTTTACAGCAGGAAAGAAAGGAAAGTGCCCTTGGAAGAAATCCAAGTGGGTGACTTGAAGAGTAAGTGCGGTTTTTAACTTTGATCCCAGGACTCTATAGGTTGGCCCCTTTCCTGTGATTCTTCCCTTAGAGTGGGCGGCCCACATGCGCAGTGCCCTCCTTATACTTGGGAGGTGAGCATGCACAGTGTGTTTAGAAAGTTGTATGCATGCCCATCGGAGGCTTTTTTCCCTTTTCTGGTGGAGTGCCCCAGGAAGGTCGTATACTGCCATTTTGTCTCTTAATGCCCCTGCCTGGGCTCACTCACTCAGTGCCTGAGATTTTATTGGAGCCCCCTTTTTTGCTTCTCCCTGGTGCCTGCATTCATTTAACACTTTAATGTTTAACACTTGTGGACTGTTAGGAGCTTCTCTCTCCTTGGTGCAAGCTGCCAATTTATCACTTTTAGAGAGGCAATGTGATAATTGCTGAATCACCCAACATTCCTAGTGGGTGTGGGAGAACCCTCTCCTGCCCTGCTCGTACCTGTCTTACTACCTGTAACATTTTGTTGAGGATTTTTGCATTTATGTTCATGAGAGATATTGGCCTATAGTTTTCTTGTAATGTTTTTGTCTGGTTTTGGTATCAGAGTAATGCTGGCCTCACAGAATGAGTTAGGAAGTATCTCCTCTGCTTCTATATACTGCAAGAGATTACACAGAATTAGTATAATTTCTTCCTTAAATATTTGGTAAAATTCACCAGTGAACCCATCTGGGCCTGTGCTTTCTGTTTTAGAAGATTATTAATTATTGATTCAGTTTTTTAAATAGATGTGGGCCATTTAGATTGTCTGTTTCTTGTATGTATTTCAGCAGATTATGTCTTTCAAGGCATTGGTCCATTTCATCTAGGTTATCAATTTTGTGGGCATAGAGTTGTTCATAATATTCCTTCATTTTCTTTTTAATGTCCATGGGGTTTGTAGTGATGTCCCTTCTTTCATTTCTGATATTAGTAATTGGTGTTTTCTCTCTCTTTTTTTTTTTTCCTTAGTTTAGCTTGGCTAGCAGCATATCGGTTTTATTGATCTTTTAAAATAACCAGCTTTTGGTTGTGCTGATTTTCTGTATTGGTCTTATGTTCAGATTCATTGGTTTCTGCTCTAATTTTTGTTGTTTGTTTTCTTCTGCTTGCTTAGTTTGGATTTAATTTGCTCTTCTAGTTTCCTAAGGTAGAAGCTTATTGATTTTAGATCTTGATTCTTTTTAAAAATATGTATTCAATGCTATAAATTTCCCTCTAACCACTGCTTTTGTTGCATCCCACAAATTTTGCGAAGTTGTATTTTCACTTAGTTCAAAGTATTTTAAAATTTCTTTTAAGTTTTTTTTTTACTCTTGTTTAAAAGTGTGTTAGTCTCCATGTACTTTGGGATTTTCCAGCTATCTTTCTGTTATTGATTTCTAGTTTATTCCATTGTAATCACTATGTGATTTCTATTGTTTTAGATTTGTCTTGGTTTGTTTTATGACCCAGAAGGTGGTCTGTCTTGGTGAATGCTGCATGAGAGCTTGGGAAGAATGTGTATTCTGTTGTTTTTGGATGAAGTAGTCTATAAATGTCAATTGTCAATTATATACAGTTGATTGATGGTGTTGTTGAGTTCAACTATGTCCTTTCTGATTTTCTGCCTACCTGACCTGTCCATTTCTTCTTTTTTTGGTCTTGCTCTGTCGCCCAGGCTGGAGTGCAGTGGTGCAATCTTGGTTCACTGCAACCTCCACCTCCCGGGTTTGAGTGATCCTCCTATCTCAGCCTCCTGAGTATGTTCAGCTAATTTTTGTATTTTTTTTGTAGAGGAGAGGTTTCGTCATGTTGCCCAGGCTGGTCTTGAACTCCTGGGCTCAAATGATCTGCCCACTTCGGCCTCCCAAAGTGTTGGGATTACAGGCAAAAGCCACTGTGCCTGGCCTCATCCTTTAACTTTTAATCTCTATGTGTTTTTATGTCTAAAATGAGTTTCTTATAGACAACATACAGTTGTGTGTTGTTTTTTGATTCACTTTGACAATTTCTGCCTTTTAATTGGTGTAGTATGCAGACCATTGACATGTAAAGTGACTGTTAATATACTTGTGTTAATAGCTACCATATTTGTTACTGTTTTCTATTCATTGCCCTTGTTCTTTGTTCCCATTTTCTATTTCACTCTTTTTTTGGCTTTTGTGATTTTAATTAAGCAGTTTGCATGATTCCATTTTATCTCCTTTCTTAGCATAGCAGTTATACTTTTTTAAAATCTTTTTTTTTTAGTAATTGCCTAAGAGTTTTCAAGATACATTCACAACTAATCCAAGTCTGCTTTCAGATAACACTGTACCACTTCATGTGTAATGCAAGTACCTTATAATAAATGAAAATATTATTAATTCCTCCTTCCCATCCCTTGCGTCATTGCTGTCATTCATTCTACTTACATGGAAGCATACATAAGAATATCAGAATATATATAAAATCGTAGGTAATGAATACATTGTTGCTGTTATTATTTAGAATAAACTATTTTTTGTTAGAGTAAGAAGAAAAATAAAAATAAAAATAAAAGTTATTATTTTTATCTTCGGGTATTCCATCTTTATTCTCTTCCTCTTTTTTTTTTTTTTTTTTTTTTAAAGAGATAGGATCTTGCTCTGTTGCCTAACTGGAGTGCAGTGTACGATCATAGCTAACTTCAGCCTCAACCTCTTGGGCTCAAGTGATCCTCCCACTTCAGCCTTCTCGGTAGCTGGGAATACAGGTGCATGCCACCAGGCCCAGCTAATTATTTTTTTAAAGATGAGGCCTTGCTCTGCTGCCCAGACTGGTCTCCAATTCCCATCCTCAAGTGATCCTCCCACCTCGGCCTCCCAAAATGCTGGGATTACAGGCATGAGCCATCCTGCCTAGCCTCTAATGCTGTTTTTTTCTTTATGTAGATACAAGTTTCTGACTTACATAATTTTTCTTCTTTGTTAAGAAGTTCTGCTAACATTGCTTTCAAGGCAGGTGTACTTGCAGTAGAGTCCCTCAATTTTTGTTGAGAAAGTGTTTATTTCCTCTTCACTTTTGAAGAATAATTTCTTAGGATAAACAACAGGCAGTTATTTTCTCTGAACACTTAAATACGTTTTTATTTAAGGAAATACATTCAGTCAAAACTTGGTTTTCTTTCCTTCAGTCCCCTCTCCATATTATCAAAAAAAAAATCCACAAAACTAGCTAAATAATTAACTTAATTACCTGAAACATTTTTATAAAGATTTACTAGCAAGTAAATAATCTTTTGCTAATGAAAATAGTATTTCTTATTTTAGTCTTTCTATTTGCAGATGGTGGTAGACCTATATATAATTTTTTTATAAAGAAAAATCAATGCCTTTTATTTTATACTAAGTAAAGAGGCAACTGCATTGTGAATAGGGAAAATAATTGCAAGAGATAATGAGCGTACATCTTTTCAAGATGGCCATGAAAATAACTAGAATGCTGGCAACTATTCTGATTTGTTGTTAAGACTTGATTATACTATAGTTTTGTGATTTAAATGTGATTATGTATCTTTTAAAGATTTGAAAAATAATGTTTCTGCAATCCCCTTTACAATCTACAGAGAAAGCAACCAGCGAGATGAATACTGCTGAGGACTGGGGCCTCATTTTGGATATCTGTGATAAAGTTGGTCAGTCTCGCACTGGGTAAGTATTTAGCGTTTCAAAGGATTTTTATTCTTTCTTTTTAAAAAACACGAAAGGCCAGGTGCAGTGGCTTGCACCTGTAGGCCCAGCCCCTCGGTAGGATGAGGTGGGAGGATCGCTTGAGCCCAGGAGTTAGAGGCTGCAGTGTGTGATGATTACACCCATGAACAGCCAATGTACACGAGTCAGGGCAACATAGTGAGACCCCGTCTCTTAAAAAAGAAGGATCAGGAGGTAAAGTATATTAGCATTAAATTTAGTTTAAAAAGAGAATATTTTTATTAAAAAGATTTGAAGAATCATCTCATTTAGTTTATATACCTTTTAACCAGTTAGGGTAACATGGCTGGTAAAAAGTTGATGCTTTAATCACCCTCCTTCATATTTTCTTCTGGAATCTCATTTTTTCCACTGATTTTAGAGTTATTAGTGATTTCTCAGTTACCAAGTTTCATGGTTATTTATGAGTTCTTTTCTCCTTTGTCAGATTTGCAACATTCCACCTAATGAATCAGTTAGGTGGAATTGAAAAGAAATTTTTTCTTTCTGTTGAAAGATTAGGGGAATAGAATCTTAAACTTTTTGGCATGTATTACAGAGCTTTCCAAACAGTACAGTAATTGGATTAATTGGTGTGGATATGGGTGATTTCTTCAGCTCCTGGGCTAACAGCATTAGCCTTTAGCAGTTTCATTTACTGCTTTATGCCACACAAATGGTATTGTCTTATTTGTGCACTTTCATGTGAAAAAGATTAGGAAGCACTGCTGCATTACACTTGATATTTGCAGTGGTAATATGAAGCCTTTGCCAGTGTCTTCTTTGCCTCTTCTTCCTTCACCCCTAAATATAGATGTTCCTGAAACTTTCCCTGATTCATTTTTTATTTCTAAGATTTTTTCTTTTGGTCTCACAACTTCCAGCTGTCTTTATGTAGATGGCATCTGTATTTGCAGCTCTTCTTACTCAAGCACTAGTCTTATGGACACTGCATTATTTCTGGATATCGTTCTATATAAGCCTTCATCTCACCATCTAGAAACCAGAACTCCTGTCTCTTTTTGTTTTAAACCTACTTTCTTTCAGTTTTTCCATTTCTATTAATGACAAGATGATTCTTTCATTGCACTAAAACTTGAGTCACCTTCACATTTATTACTCAATTCTGTCCATCTGCCTTCATAATCTCTCAAAATGTTGACGTTTTAAAGTCTCCTTAATCAAGTTTTTGAGCATAGCCAAATGGTGCAGAGGCAGTTTTCTTCAGGGGCTGTATACCCTCCACTCTAGCTTTTTTTGGCCCATAATGTCCTCCCACTATGACGTTCCCAAAGAATCTCCCAAATGTGGTCCCATCCATCCCTTTGTTGTATTTACATTTTAGTATATTCTGACCTGGTTCATTAATTTAATTGAAAATTTTTAACTACTGTGTGTTACATATCGCGTTCCCTTTTCTCCATTTTTATTTGTCCTACTTTACTTTGGACGTTCCTTACCTTGCCTAGGCTAGCGAATTAACCCACTGGCATTTTTTTTCTGTTTCCATCTCTTTTCTAATTCTTATATCCAGTTGCCGTATAACAGCTGTGTTCATGTTACTCCCCTACCTTCCATACTGAGTTCAGTTTAAGCTCCTTAGTCTTCTGAATCATGCATTTTCATTTTTTTCCCTCCTGTATAACATTCATTTCAGCTCAACTATCTGAGTTCCAGTGCTTTTTTTCTACCTTAGTTTGATGCTTTTGGTCCTTTTGTTTCTTGAGGATGGAATGTTTTCCTCTTTAATTTCCCATCTCTGTGTCTCATATCCTTTCAGACCCAATGTAGATACCACTTCTTCCACAAAGCCTTTCCTTATCCCCTTTACTGACAATGGTATGATCCTCTGAATCCTCAAAGCACTCTATCAAAACTATTCTTATTTGTGTTTTTTCCTGCATTTTAGTAACTTATATCTAATGAACTGAAGTTTCTTAGATATAAACCTAGTAGATTTGTAGAATGAATGGTCCATGAACTTCTGTTGCACATGGGAAAGAAGCAAATAGCTTAGTGGTGGAGATCATGTACTCTAGAGGGAGAATGCCTGGGTTCAAATCTTGGCTCTAGCCATTTAGCTATGTCATACTGGGTAAGTAACTTATCTTTCTGGGCCTTACTTTTCCAGTTTACCACCTAAGAATAATAATAGTATCATCTTCATAGGGGAGTTGTTGTGACTTTGAGATTAGCTTTATCAAGTGTTTATAACAGTACCTGGCACATGGCTGAATGAGTGCAACTCTGCCTGCTTTTGATTGAAGTCATATTTTGTGACAGTTTCTGTTGAAGACTGGGCACCAAGCTAGACCACTTCATGTGCATTTTGGAGATAAAAGTTTTATCTAGCATTGCAGCTGCAAAGCCCCTCCTCTCTCTCTTCACTTTGTTGGTTTCCTTTTTATCTTTACTTCGGTGTTTTTCATTTTGTAGACGCTTTCTGTAATAATTGGGTCAATTGCTTGAAGTTGTTTGTCAAAAGGCAAACCCCCTTTTACAACTATAAATATTCCATGTTTTTCCAGTTAAAAAATCAATTTGTAATGCATCTGAAATTCTGTATGTTGTAGCACAAAGCTGTAGAGATCAATTTGTTTTTCTTAATGTTAACGTTATTCTCCCAGAAATGTTTATTATTATTTTCCCTATTTTATTTCCTTTCATATTTGAAATTTACTAATTTATAGCTTTAAAAATATTTTTTGTCTTTTTGTTTTTATCCAGTATCAATAGGTTTAGACACATGCTCATTTTTTTTAGTTTTTCATATTTATTTTTAAACTACATACTTTCTCTCAGTATATTCCTTAATATTTGAATTGTCAGTTGGGGATTTTAATTGACATTATACTAAGTCTATGAGTTTACTTAGGAAATATTTTCAACTTCAGTGAATTCGATAATGAAGGTGGATCTGTTTGTTCTTTTAGTCAGTGTTTTTTCCTTTTCTTCTTCCTTCCCTCCTTTTTCTTCTTTTTTCTTCCCACTTACTCACTTAGTTTTGACTCCTTTAATAGTTATTGCTCTCTGGTTCTTTTAAATCCCCATTAAGTTAATCTTCAAGCATTTATTGTGTGCATAAATGGGATATCTTGTTATACCTCTTGTTAATAAAGAGTTGTTTGAAAAGGATTAAACAATAATTGAGATACCATTCTAATATTATTGAGGTTTTAAAAAAATGTCAGGCCTTCAATAATTGCTCATGTATGTATTTTCTTTCAATAATACTGTTTAACATACATCTCCAGTTGTGTTTTTTCTTTCTTGTTCTCCCTTGATAATCTCATATTAGGAAATGGTAAACATAAGGGTCATATTAGGACATTCCTGGGCCCTAGGCACTTTTGTCTTCTTGGGCTCCTCTTTCTATTAAAAAAATTAAAAATATTTTATGACTACATTGTTTTAAGGAAAAATATATTAGTATTATATATTAAAACATTTTCTTTGAAGCAAAAGTTCACTTTTTTCTTCTTGTTTTAAAAGAAATAAAACATTTACGTGTACTTCCAAAATTATTGTGAGTCCTAGGCCCTGTGCCTACATGCATAAGCGTTTACAGAATTGGGTTACATATTCACAGATCAACTTAGTAATAGAAAATTTTAGGTTTCTTTCAGGTGAGCACTAAACTGTGGGATACTTATGGTGGCATTCCTAATATGTTATTTGTTTTTATTTTTGTGGTAAATTATATATACAATAAAATTAACTATTTTAAAGTGTTCACTTTAGTAGGATTAAGTATACTCACATGCCCGCTGTCTGTCTCCAGAACTTATCCATCATCCCAAACTGAAACCCTGTGCCCATTAAACAATAACTCATCCCCCTTTCCTCCAGCTCCTCTTAAACATTTGTAGTTTGCCTTTAATATTTTAAATTATTTTATAATTAGTATATATGGACAACTTATAGAAATCTGGTTTATGTTTTGGAGGAAACTGTGATTGGATATGGGTTGCTGATGGTCGCATAAGAATGTTGAACAGTATTGTAGGCTGCCATTGAGGTATTCTAAATACCTGATGTGCTTTAGAGAAGACTATAACATGTAAGTGGGTTGAGAGGGAAAAGAGGACATGAGTTTTCCAAAGACAAATTCAGGTAGAGTCTTTTGAAGTAGAGGAATGTTGTAGATTGGAATGCAGTTCAGAAGTGATTTGTGTTTCAGGCAACAATCTAGATTTAGAAAAAAAATTATTATTGCTATTTGGTGTTAGCCTGAAATTTTGTAAAGTGCGGCGATCTTTTTAAGAGGACAGATTCAGAGATGGTGGAAGGACTTTAGGAGGAGCATTTCACTTTCAGTAATATTGTATTTTTTAAATCAAAATGATTTGTAACTAGTAATATATAGTAGAATCATTTAGAGGATAAATAAAATGAAATAATTCATATTATTTTAACCTTTTTTTCTCTTTTGGCTTCTTTTTTTAAAGTCATCTGTCTTAGAATTATGGTAGTTTGAAAAATATTCTTAGGTTTTAAAGGGGGAGAAAAGAGCTATTATTGTGAAGTTTCATTTAGTCAGAACTGTGACCAGGAAACATGGCTCTCAGTGGTGTTGTGAAAAATTTTTCTTAATTCCTTCTCTTAAAAAGGAAAAAACCAGACAAACCCATTTTCTGTTCTTTAAACTCACATATACATATGCATATGCATATATATTTATGTTTGTTGATTATATAAAGTATTTATTTCTTTTAAAAATAAGTATGTATTCACATGGCTCAAATGTTAAAACAATTTAAAAAGATGGACATTGACAAGTCTAATTCCTATCCCTGTTTCGCTGCTCTCATCTTCTATAAGTTACCACTTACGTAAATTTTGTATCTTTCCATTCTTTTACACAAATGTGAATACATTTTCCCCCCATTTACATGTAATAAGAATGTTGTATATATTCTTCTGCATTTATTACTTAATTACTTATCGTTACTTATTGACTACTTATTGTATCCTGTCAGTCTTAGAAATGTATTTCTTTTAAGTCTATTAGTATTGGACAAATTTGGAAATTATTTTCTAGTTTAACATTAATTTTGGTTAGTGGCATGTAGAATATCTAACACATATACATAATTACTGAATGAAAATTAGTAATTTTTAGTAATTATCTCAATTTCAGAAAGCCTACTAGATGTAATCCCTGTTTACTTCATTTAAGTTGTAGTTTCTTTTTAAATCTTGAAATACTTGATTATACCAAACCTAAAACTTTAACAAACATTCTGAAATTTTTTTCTAACGTCTCAAGATATTCACATGATTTCTACTGCGCAATTTCCAGTGTGTGAGTAACTAGTGAAGAATGCCCAGCCAATTAGGTCATATGATGGGCTGAACAGCCTTCATTTGTTTAGAAATCAAGAGAACTTTCACAATGATAATAGCCGTTTTCTTTAACATGTCTTCACATAAATAATTTTTCTATGTTAGTGTTGATTGATTTGTTTATATTTATGTAAACATAGACGTGAGGATAAATACTGATTATCTTCAATAACAAGTTAAAATTAAAGTTCTGTAATTGACCTCTAGATTAAGTTTTGCTGTTATTTTATATGTTAACTGTCTTTGCTTAGCTTTAGCCAAAGATATAGTTGACTAAAGGTGGAAAACATCATGTAACTTTTTCTTTACCCGACTAATGGATATGTTTTGGTACTAAATTTATTCTAACAGAATGAGAAAGATCATATGATAGTCATTATTGGTGTTTTGTGAAAAATACAAATGTAAGCCTTTGGGAAGGAGTTTGTTAAAAATGTTTTTCCTTGGCTTTGTATTTTTTTTTTTTTTTTTTTTTTTTTGAGACAGAGTCTTGCTTTGTTGCTCAGGCTGGAGTGCAGTGGCACGATCTTGGCTCACTGCAAGCTCCGCCTGCCGGGTTCACCCCATTCTCCCGCCTCAGCCTCCTGAGTAGCTGGGACTACAGGCACCCGCCACCATGCCCAGCTAATTTTTTTTTGTATTTTTAGTAGAGACGGGGTTTCACCGTGTTAGCCAGGATGGTCTCGATATCCTGACCTTGTGATCTGCCCGCCTTGGCCTCCCAAAGCGCTGGGATTACAGGCATGAGCCACCCTGCCTGGCCTTTGGCTTTGTATTGTTTTGTCCTGGACTGGACTGTGACTATTTCCGGCCTTCAGTAGGAAGTTGAAAGAATATTTCCTGATTTTTGTAAGGGAAAAATAATCTCTGAGCTGGATATTCTAGAGTTGAAAGGACAGCATCAGTAGAGAAACAGACCTCTTTCAAGTCTTTTTTTCTTCCTATAATCATATCCTCATTTTACAGGACTTTATCATCAAAGTCTTTTAAATGCTCTTTTAAGAATAATCGTCACTTATTGACTACTTATTGTTTGCTAGACTCTGTTACAGTGCCCTATGAACATTTTGTTTGATTATCACAGCAGTTCTAGGTACTGTAGATTCTCTCAACTTTCAAGTGAGAAATCTAATTGATATTTAGGATTCTTTTATATAACTTAAAATAGCGGAAGTGTTCCAGCAGAGTTAAATAATTTTTTTTTTTTTTTGAGACAGAGTTTCACTTTTGTTGCCCAGGCTGGAGTGCGATGGTGCGATCTCAGCTCACTGCAACTTCTGCCTCCCAAGTTCAAGCGATTCTCCTGTCTCAGTCTCCTAAGTAGCTGGGATTACAGGTGAACGCCACCATGCCCGGCTATTTTGTATTTTTAGTAGACATGGGGTTTCAACGTATTGGTCAGGTGGCCTTGAACCCCTCACCTTGTGATCTGCCCTCCTCAGCCTCCCAAAGTGCTGGTATTACAGGCGTGAGCCACCGCATCCAGCCCATAGAATTTTTTTTTTAAAACGTGATCTTGATTTCCATGTTTCACTCAGTTTCGTAACATGGCAGAATTTCTTTAATTCGTTTCATTCTCTTTGCGTTCGTCATTTTTTCTTTTATTTGTCAAATACTGAATGCCAAATATCATGCTTTGGCTATACAGTGGTGAATAAAGCAGGCATAGCCTTTGCCGTCAATGGTGCTAATATTCTAATGGTGGAAGATGTGAAATAAACAGATACTAACAGATGATGGTCAATAGCTAAGAAGCTAGTAACCAGAGTGCTATAATGGAAAATAAAAAGGTAGACTGGTATGAGGGGGTTACGTTTATGCTATAATTTTAATGTTGAAAAGAGACAGAGTTCAAAGCACTGCATCCCAGAAAGAAGCAATAGTCTGTAGGTGAATGCTGAATGCTACAAGGTAGAGAAAACTTGATGCCTTCTAAGAACTTGAAAGTTACAGAGTAGCTGGAGCAGAAGTCAGTTGCCCTGAATGAGCGCAGAGCTGGGTTTCAGAGTGAGTTAGAAAAATAGAAGATGATGGTTGGAAGGTAGGATCCTTTAAATTAAAACTATAGAGGGTTTTCAGTTATTGGTAATGACAAGGTCTGATGACTCCAAGGTCCATCGGAGTTAATAAGATGTGATAGAAGTTGAAAAGCCAAAGTGTTGAAAGCATCACTTACACTGTTATTAAAAGCTCCAAGAATTAGGACAGGAGTGATGTTGGAGAGAGAGGCAGTGATCCAGTAGCTAAAATAATTGACAGGTGAAGGGGCATTTGAGATTTTTAAATAAACTGCAACATGAGGGGACTGACGTGATTGGAGCTGGGCAGTTTTAGGAAAGAGGGAGAGTGGTTTGGAAGAGGCAAGGGAAATGAATGCACATTGCTTAGCATAATGCATATTGAACAGATAGTACAGAGGTCAACTCCGACACAATTTCCCCAATTATTCACATATTTCATTAGTGTATATATTTGTTACAAGATATGAACCAATATTGATACATTACTATTAACTAAAGTCCATAGTTTGCATTAAGGTACACTTTGTTTTGTACAGGTCAATGGGTTTTGACAGTGTATATAATGACATGTGTCTACCATTGTGTAATGCCACGTATCTGTCATTACAGTACCATGCTGAATAGTTTTATCACCTTAAAATGACCTGTGCTCCATCTGTTCATTCCTTTCCTTCCTCTCTTTGCACTTTAAACAGCCACTGATCTTTTTACTGTTTACAAGTTTATCTTTTCCAAATGTTGTGTAATTGGGATCGTAGACTATATAGCCTTTTCAGACTGGCATCTTTCACTTACCAGTATGCATTTAAGGTTCCTACGTGCCTTTTCGTGGCTCAGTAGTTCATTTCTTCTTATTGCTGAATACTCTTCCATTATATGGATGTTCTACAGTTTGTTTATTAACCTACTGAAGGACATCTTGTTGGCTCCCAGTTTTGGTGATTTTTAATAAAGCTGCTATAAACATGAATTTGCAGCCTTTTGTGTTGACATCGTTTTAAGTTCAGTTGGGTAAATATGTGAGAACATGATTGCTAGATCATATGGTAAGACTGTTTATCTTTGTTAGAAGCCACCAGACTGTCCCCACAGTCTCAGTATGGTTTTGTTTTTTACATTCAAGTCTTTGATCTATTTGGAATTTATCCTGTTAGGCAGTATGAAGTATGGTTCTAACTTTATTCTTTTCTATTTGGCTACCAAATATCCCAACACCATTTACTGAATCGTCCATCTTTTTTTCTTCTGATTTGAAATATTTCTTTTATATATTATATTTGCATATGTATTTAAGTCTGTTTTTCTCTTTTGACCCGTTGGTATGTGTCTAAACACATTCTGCTACCACATGGTTTTAATTATTAATATGTTTTGACATTTGGTAGGATATGGTCTTGAGGTTTTTTTTTTTTTTTCCGGAAATGTTGTTTTAGATATTCTTTCCCCTTCCTACTCTCATTAAATAAACTTTCAAATTGAGTTGGCTGGGTTAAAAACAAAACTTTCTGTTTAAATTGGCCTAGTTTTAAATTAACAAATTTATGTCTTTATGATATTAAATCTTCCTATCCGAGAACATAGCATCTCTTTTTGTTTATAACCTTTAGTAGTGTTTTTAAGTTTTCCTCTTAAAAGTCTTGTACATTTTTTGTAATGTTTCGTCTGAGGTATTTTGTCCTTTTTGCTGCTGTTTCAGTGGGGTTTTTCTTTCACTGATTGGGAATTTCCCTTCTTTTTCTTTCTTTCTTTTTTTTTTTTTCTGAGATGGAGTCTCGCTCTGTCACCCAGGCTGTAGTGCAGTGGCGCAATCTCAGCTCACCGCAAATGCCGCCTCCCAGGTTCACACCGTTCTCCTGCCTCAGCCTCCCCAGTAGCTGGGACTACAGGCACCCGCCCCTATGCCCTATGCCCGGCCAATTCTTTTCTTTTCTTTTTTTTTTTTTTTTTTTGTATTTTTAGTAGACACGTGGTTTCACCATGTTAGCCAGGATGGTCTCGATCTCCTGACTTCGTGATCCGCCCATCTCGGCCTCCCAAAGTGCTGGGATCACAGGCGTGAGCCACTGCGCCCAGCTGGGAATTTCCCTTCTTAAAGGGTAGACGGGATTATAGCATCTGTGTATCTGGAAGAGAATGATGCACTTTGAGGGGGAAATTGAGATGATGATTCAGGAGAGAATTGGGATAACAACAGAAGTCAAGTTGTTGACTAGGCAATAGGGAATGGGATCCGATGCGAGCTGATTTTTCTATCTTTACTTGCCTAGACAATGATTTTACTTTTTTATTTTACTAAGTCTTAAAAACATCGTATATTTTATAGAATGAGACTTATAGAATTCTGATGACTGTTGTGCTTGTTTTGCAGATGAGAAAACTAAAGCCCTGAGATTTTTAATGTGACTTGTCTAAAACGAGTGAGCAGAGGCAAAATTAGAAGTCAGATTTCTTTACTTCCCATTTTATGTTTTTTTCTACCTTCACTGTGCTGTGTGCTTAGGTGCTTGTATGAGCAGTTATATTTGAAGGTTAAAATTATGAATCAAGACATACCAATCTTACATTAAAGTTTTTGGTGATTCCTCTCTCCCCATACGTTATGTTACATTGTGTTTTGTTTGACTGAAATATACCTTAGTGTTACATGGTCTAGAAAACTCAAAATATCATCGTACTGAATTTAATCCTCAATATTTTAGTTCAGCATGTAGAAGTTTAGTTTATCTGCTTTTCTAATGAAGTCCTTTGGGACTTACATGAACATGTTTGTTAAATAATAGTCAAATAACATCACTGTATATATTTATATTCACGTTCCATTATCTCATAAGAAATGCCTACTTAATAAGCTTAACATTAAGGGAATAATTTGATATTTGTACTCTATATTTTGCTCCTTTTATATGTTGTGTGGATTATGTTTTATGTAATGTATGTTACAAATCAAATTTGCATTTTGAATATGTTCAGTATATAAAGATTGCATTATTTCTGTTGTGATTTCTTTTGTACTTTTATATTAGAATTCTCTTACAGTCTGTGACATGCCTTCATGCTTATGAAAGGCATCTAAATAAGGCTCTACTCAGTATTCAAGGAGCATTCATATTATCTCTTAATTTCTAAAAATATTTAGTTCATTCAGCAAAGATTTGAGTTCCCATGTCTTTTAGCTGCTGTGTGTCTGCTAGGTCCTGGTATACTAAGACCTATAAAAGCTATGCATGCACATACTCCTCCTTCCTCCAATATAGACGTACATATGTCCTTGAATGGTAAACCACAGTAAAGCTTTTTTTGTAGCATTTTAGATGAAGATGTAATGTTTAAATCACTCTAAAATAACTTTGAAAGCTACAGTTGTAAAAGCAAAGATAAAAAATGAAACATTTTTGTGCTTTCAAGAACTAACATTGTTGAGAGTCTCTAAATCCCTGGCATGAGTCTAGGAGTTTTGTATTAACATTCTGATAAGGAGGTATTAGACATCTCCTCTTTTACAGATGAGGTCTGTCAAAGCTTCAAATCGTTTTTCTACTGTATCACAATGCTTCTTTTGTTTAGTAATGGTTTTCAGCCTGGGTGGTATTGCTCCATTAGGGATGGTTTCAGGTGTCCCATGACAGGCGGGTTACTACTGATGTTACTGATGTAGTAACTAGCAGGGATCAGGGATGCAACATGCCAGATAGTCTTTCACTAGTGTCCTTGTACGTTTTTAGTCTGACATAGGTTATTAGAGGTTAACCATGCAAACATATTTGTTAACCATGTTTTTTATTATTGCTATTGATAATTTTTGTTTTGATCATTTTTCTTTTATATTTGCAATACTTTTAGGCAAATACCCTGTTATTTTGTTATGTCCTGAGAGAGGGATAATGAAGAGGTGATATCCTCATTTTGAAAAGTTGATTGGTCTAAAAATCATTTATTAATTTAGTAATATATACAGGAATTAGAATTTAAATTTACTGTCTTTTCAATGACAATAATTTCCTTTAGAGTATACAATCTTCCTGTCACTGCTCGGCATATGGTTTTTATGATACTAAAAAGTACTTTTCAACTGAGATATAGAGCTATTTGAAATAGGAGAATTTTCAAAAGTTTTATACAGCATAGGATGTCACAAATCTTGACTCCTTTTTCCAACAATAGCTTTAAATATTCTTGGCTTCCTCCTATATAGCAATGGAAATACCTTTTCAGATAATCTCACTAACTGGTGACCGCGCCTAACATTGAGCTATAGATCTCTCATAACTGTACAACAGTATACCTATAAGTAGATAGACATTTGTAAATAATATAGTGACATTGTTGAAAACTTACTGTGGGCCATTCAAAGACATTTGAAATTTCACTTTTCTTGGAAAAGAGAATTGCAAGAATGCAAAATTGCTTTTAGTTTTCCTTGATCCTCTGACTGTAGAATTGAGCTGTATCATATACATGTTTAACCTACTGAATTTAACTGTATTCTTTTCCAGCCTCCTCAGATTTTTTCCCAAAAAACTTGTGCCTGCCAATTCATTTAGTGAGCTTGTATGTGCTGTCTCACAATTACAATTCCCACTTTTCTCATAGCATCAATACCTTGCTGTGCTGAGGGCCATTCTTGCTCGGAGCATGCATATTTTATCTAACATAGTCCTGTATGCAAGCCAGCTTCTTCAGCTGTTGCTCAAAGTAACAGTTTTGCTTTAATAATTGAGGAAAAGTTGGCTGTATTGGACACATTTGAGAGACGGTTCATGAGTTCTCCAATAGTTAAATCCCTAATCAAAGAAAATGGAGTAACTGCAGTTTTGGCCTTTATACCTTGACTTTGGAAACTGACCTTAAGAATGTTGTTCTTCTGTGACATCTTACAGCAGTGTGATTTGTGTTATGGTCATTTATCAAATGATAAGTAGGTATTTTTAGGTGGAAAACTGGGAAAAGTGAGAGATAATTCTCCTTTCCCTGTTCTTTGTCCCTGCCCCTGACCCCTATCTTTTTCTTTTCCCATCTCAAGATAAGGAAAAGAGAGGATGTGTCTTACAAAAAGTTTTAAAATACCAAAATGGGGTTTTAAGAAGCTTTTTGAGAGAGATGAGGATTTGCCCACCCTTTAAACAGGTAGGTGATGGAAACCTTTGGTAGACTCTTCTAAGTGCACGTGCAGATTT
Source organism: Homo sapiens (assembly GCF_000001405.40). Taxonomy (NCBI): domain Eukaryota; kingdom Metazoa; phylum Chordata; class Mammalia; order Primates; family Hominidae; genus Homo; species Homo sapiens. The sequence continues at coordinate 17,673,129 of NC_000010.11, forward strand.
TCTCTTACCATGTATTTTTACAAAATATTTTGTGTTTATTGCCACCCGTCTCTTCTCACATCCTCTGTTCCTCCCAGCACTACTTATTGTGCGTTTTCCCCCTCATGGCTTTATTATAGTTCTATTAACTACATTTTATGAAAGGATGTATGTTTTCCACTTAGCGAACTCAGTGGAAGATACACAGAACTTGGTAATAAATAGAACTTTATAAGGAAGATGACTTATTCTAAATATTAGTTGTACAATAGTGAAAAGCAGTATTTTTCGTGTTTTGCTCAGTGACTTTTTTTTGAGCATCAGCCACGTTGAAGGCACAATTCTAGGCCCCATTCGCAATGACAGTGTTTTAACTTCAGTCACGGGAGAGCAACAGCAGTTGCTAAATAATTCTTATTTTCATTTTCTCAAATTTCAGTTGACAGTTTATTATGTGCCAGAGGGCATGGTTAAGGAGTGGCATGCCAAGGATGAGCTGTGTAACCCTGGGCCCTGCCTTCAGCAGCCCTCATGATGGGGAGATAAGTAGTTAAGGAGAAAAACCCCGCAAACCAACCCAACAGAAGAGAGGTGTTAAATGCTAAAGCTTTATCATGTGATGGTGAAGAGCACAGACTCTGGAGTCAGATTGTCTGCTTGTGAGGTTCTCAGCACAGCATCTAACACAAAGCAGGCACTCCCTAAGCGTTAACTATTAGTGTTACAACTATTATCTGACAGATTTAGTTCAATATTTGAGTTTGCAGGAGGAATACCTAACATTCCAGGCACAGCTTGATGTGGGGAGCTGTCAAGGGCCTAAGTTCCTCAGTTTAAGAGATGTGTAAGCTCTGATCTGTAGGATGAGTAAGCGTTGACTAAGAACAGCAGGGCGGGAGAGTCCTTGGAGGGACTGGAGGTCCAAGAGAGCAGGGTTTTGAGAAGTGATCCAGGGATGAGATTCATGGCTGGCTTTTGTAAGCCTGACCTGATTTAGTCTTTATAAACTTGAAGTGAATTTATTTAAATATGTATTATGTTTAAGTTATGTTTTAAACAGAGATTAAAAGAAGACCCAAACAATTCTAAATAATATGACTTAGTACTGTTCAAACCTACCAGCCGTCAGCTTCCTTTGTTAGAGGCTGTTCTAGTTATCTCTTACTACACAACTCTTAGTAGTAACTGTCCTAACACTTAGCTTAAAAGAGCAGTTTATTATATCTCAAAGTTATGTGGGTTAACAGCTGGGCAGTTCTTGCGTGGGGTCTGTCATGAAGTTGTAGTCACATAGTGCCTGGGACTAGGGTCATCTGAAGGCTTCACTGGGATGGATGCTTAGTATGGTGAGCAGTGATGGTCGACCATCACCTGGGACCTCACCTGGCTATCAGGTGAAACTCTTACCCAAGGCCTCTGCTTGTGGCTTGAGCTTCTCACAGAATGGTGGTGGGTTCCCAGAGGGAGCATCCTAAGAGCTAGTGCTCCAGGAGACCCAAATGTACTCCACATGGCTTCTTGTAAGTTATGTGTCTCAGAATGTCACTTCCACTATATTTTATTGGTCAAGCAAGTCACTGAAGTCAGTCCAGGTTCAAGGGGAGGGTTGTTAGATGTCACCTCTTGAAGGGAAATGGTAAGTTCATGTCAAAGGAATTATTATCATAGTTATCTTTGGAATACATAATTTGCCTGAGGCCTGTTAGTTCCATAAGTGTTGAATCAGAACTTTGAACTTAACAAAACAATGAAAAATACCATTAGGAAAAAATAATTCTAATAAACAAAATTATAAATTCCACTTTTGATACTTGAGACACTCAATCCTTAAGAATGGAATGACAAAATGTGATACAAGGGTTTCTTCATTTTTAAATCTAACATTTAATTATGACTTTTGACATGGAAAAAATTGTTCTGTGTTGAAAGATGTACCCATTTGTGTGTATTTATAAATATGAACAGCTGACAGATAGGGAATCTTAACTGATTAGGTAGTCATGAAGATTTTCTTTCATGGTGCCTTTTCATCGCTTGGTTTTAGACACATGGCCTGATACAGCTTTTAGTTTATGAACATTCATAAAAGCCTAATTAAAGATAATAGCATTTTTTGGCTGGGCACGTGGCTTACGCCTGTAATTCCAGCCCTTTGGGAGGCCAAGGTGGGTGGATCACCTGAGGTCAGGAGTTTGAGACCAGCCTGGCCAATGTGGTGAAACCCTGTCTCCACTAAAAATAAAAAAATCAGCTGAGTATGGTAGTGCCTGCCTGTTATCTCAGCTACTTGGAAGGCTGAGGTGGGAGAATTGCTTGAACCCGGGAAGTGGAGGTTGCAGTGAACTGAGATCGCACCACTGCATTCCAGGCTGGGAGACAGAGTGAGACTCTGTCTCAAAAAAAAAAAAAAGATAGTAGCGTTTTCTGAAATTGATGGTTTTAAACATGATATTGTAGTTTATATAAAGTTTGGACAACTATGTTTATGTCACAGTTTTAACTTATACAGGGATTCACTTAAGTTTTAGAAAAAAACACTAGGCTAGACTATGAACTTCATGAAGCAGGGTCAGTCTCTTCTTGTTCACTACTTTATTCCTAAAGCCTTGCATAATGCTTGTCACCTAGAAGGTAATTAATGAACGTTAGTTATGGAAAGTATTATTAACAGAGTTCTTTGGTACCTATTGAATTTTTTTTTAACAGTGACTCTCTAATTTTTATGGCGGTGATTCACCCTGAAAGTCTTGCTTACCTAATTAGATTAATCCAAAGGGCCGGTATCCTTTTGCACTGATACCTACAAATAGCACTCCATGTGGTGGAATCAGATTATCTGAGTACTTCCAACACGATGAATGGGCAAAAATGAGAAGTTTTCTTAATTTACCATTAGATCAGAGAAGTGACTGCTGATAGAATTCATTAAAAAAAAAATCTGTCCTTTGCACATTTGCCCTAAGAGCTTCAAGTTCTGCAGAGTTTGTGTTTTGTTTGGGAAATTAGAAAGGTCTATTGCAAAAGAAAGCACAGTAGCACAGTTTGGATATTTGTGTGTGAAGATTGATTGATTAAGGAAGGTTCACGACTTAATTTTCATTTACTTCCAGGCATGAGCTGACTTATTTTTAATAGTTATGACTTCACCTAGAAACTGAATGGTTGAGAGTGGTATAATGGGGCAGGAGTGGGTATAGGGAGGATGTGATAGAGAGGAGCTCCATCTTAAATCTCCTTTCTTTGAATCTGACAGTGCAGTTTGTTGAGATAGGAGTAATACTGGTAAATAATGAAATTGAATTTGATGCTTTCAGTTCATCAGCTGACATATGTAGGCAGTTATGTACATTCCTGCAAAGTCTGTTCTTTGTCTGGTCTGTGATTTGAGAAAAAGACATTGGAAGCTGCAACGGTATAGAAATACTGCCCCCTTTTCTTTTACCCTCTTACGAACTATATGACCCAGATCTATTCATAAAAAGATGATTTTGTGGATGAACATAGTTTTGGCTGTTGTGACCATAACATCCAATTTGCCTTGGACAATTGTAGTTTATGCCTGCTGTTCCTCTGTTATGTCCAGTTAACACCATCTTTCACTCGCGAAAGGGTACTGCCATAGAGAATGAATTATATAGACACCATGCTTGTAATCAACTTTCATTTGTCATTGGAAGGATAATAGCCAGAAGTATACTCACGTTAAATTCACTTATAATCCCCAAACCTTTTTAAAAAGTAGTGTTTTAACCATACTTTTAATTACTTGGTAAGATTTAATAATTATACATATATATATATATAAAAGTTCAGTATTACCTATCTGGTGGAAATACTAAAAACTGAATTAAAAATGCATAGGACAGAATGAAACAGTTCATAATAGTGGTTAAGTTCTGTTTTGTAGACAGTTCTGAAGGGATTTTTAAGCTAGTATGTAAAAAGATACTGCTGTGTTTGCACAAACAAGGTGTTCATCAGCGCTTCATTCTTACTGGCTTTGCAGCTCTGTCCTTTTAATGGTTCAGTAGCCAATTTTATTTTGGTGCCAGAGATATCTTTGCTTTGGTTTTTACAATTGGCTGTGGTAAAACAACATAGGAATGTCTAAAATAAAAAGGAATAGTTTCATTTCAACACCCCTTTCCCCACCATCCTTTCCAAAAGTCACAGTTTAGGTTTCCTACCTTAAAAAAAAGTGGTTTATAAACAAAATACATAATCAATTTTATTTAACATTTGGTAAAGAAAGTATACAGGATTATTTTCTAAAATATTGAGCTGAATCATCTTTAGATTATTTTTTACTGATTTTAATTTTAGTATTCAAATAATTCTTTATATCTGGCCTTTACCATGCATTGAAATGATTGTTTTGTGTTTTTATGTCGGCATGGTATTCACAACTGCAAGTCAGTATGGGGTCACGGACCCTGGCTCCTAAAATAAGTCCAACTGTGAAAAAGGCAAAATCTAAATAATAGTGTTAAAGTACATAATTTCTTCAGTCTAATGATGCTGCTATCCAAAAATTTTAATCTCTTACAAAATCAGTAAAGTAGAAGAAAAAAGTTTTAGGATTAAAAAAATTGAATGCTTGGCACATAATAGACATTCAGTCAATATTAGTTCTTTTGTGTGTTGTTTCTCCCTTCACCATGCTCTTTAGGTGGAAGCAGCCTCACAGGCAGTTGAGCATCCTTAAAATCAGGAATCCTACCTTGTATCCTAATTTTTCTATATAATTATTAAAAAGGATTTTTTTGTATTTATTACAGTGCTAACTAATTATACTTAAGCATATTGCTTTGCTTTCCAGGGCTCATTGGAGTTCAAATTGCCCGATAAAAGTTTTTACTTTTATAAATACATATATATTTCACATACCATCAAATTTACCATTTTAGAATATACAATTCAGTGGGTTTTAATATGTTCATAAGTTTGTGCAACAGTATCTAATTCCTGAACAATCATCATCCCAAAAAGAAAGCTGTACTCATTAGCAGTCACTCCCATTCCCACCTCTCCTCATTCCTGGAAACCACTAATCTACTTTCTATCTGTGTGGATTTGCCTGTTGTAGACATTTCATATAAATGGAGCTCTGCAATACATGTTCTTTTGTGATCAACTTTCTTCATGTGGTGTAATTTTTTTTTTGGAAGACAGAGTCTCGCTGTGTTGCCCAGGCTAGAATGCAGCGGCACAATCTCAGTTCACTGTAACCTGCACCTCCCAGGTTCAAGCGATTCTCCTGCCTCAGCCTCCTGGGTAGCTTGGATGGGGTACATGCCACTGTGCCTGGCTAAGTTTTTGTATTTGTAGTAGAGATGAGGTTTCACCATGTTGGCCAGGCTGGTCTCGAACTCCTGATCTCAGGTGATCCGCCTGCCTCGGCCTCCCAAAGTGCTGGGATTATAGGCGTGAGTCACCACGCCCAACCTCATGTAGTGTAATTCTTCTGAGGTTCGTTTATGTTGTAGCTTGTATTAGTACTTATTTTATTTTGGTAAAATATATTTAACATAAAGTTTACTATTTAAATCATTTTTAAGTGTATAATTCAGTGGTATTTAGTACATTCACAGTATTATGCAACCAACACCACTATCCATTTTCAGAACTTTTTCATCATCCCACGTAGAAACTCTACACCTTTGAAATAATGGCTGTCCATTTCCCCTCCTAGCCACTAGTTACTTTTTTCTATGTTCTATCTTTATGAATTTGTCTATTCTAGATACCTCATGGAAGTGGAAACATAGAATTTTTTGTGCTTTTGTGTCAGACTTATTTCACTTAGCATAATGTTTTCAAGGTCCATCCATGTTGTATATAGCATGTGTCAGAATTTCCTTAAGGCTGAATACTATTCCATTGTATATCACATTTTGTTTATCCATTCTTTCGTTGATGGACATTTGGCTGTTGTGAATACTATTAATACTACTCTGAACATGGGTGTACGGATATTGGTTAGAGTCCCAGCTGGATTATATGTGGTTATGCTTAATTTTTTGAGGAACTACCACACTTTTCACAGTAGCTACACCATTTTACATTCCCACCGGCAATGTACAAGGGTTCTAATTTCACTACATCCCCTCCAATATTTGGTATCTTTCCTTTCTTAAAAAAATAGCCAGCCTAGTGAGTGTGAAGTGGCATCTCAATGTGGTTTTGATTTGCATCTCCCTAATTGCTAGCGATGTTGAGCATTTGTTATGTGCTTATTGGCCCTTTGTGTATCTTACTTGGAGAAATGTCTATTCAAGTCCTTTGCCCATTTTTGAATTGGGTTGTTGTTCGTTGTTGAGATGTAGGAGTTCTTTATATATTCTGGCTGTTAATCTCTTGTCATATATATGATTTGGAAATATTTTCTCCCATTCTGTGGGTTGACTTTTCTTTATTGATGGTATCCCTTAATGCACAAAAACTTTTAATTTTGATGTTTAATTTGCGTGTGTTTTTTTTTTTTAAATGAAGTGTTGATGTTAATTTTTAAACATTTGGTAGAATTCACCAGTGAAGCTTTCTGTTTCTGAGATTTTCTTCGTGGGAAGTTTTCTTAATCAGTAATTTAGTCTTTTTACTTGTTACATAGGTCTATTCAGATTTTCTGTTTCTTCTTAAGTCAGTTTCTTTTCTTTTTTCTTTTTTTCTTTCAACAGCTAAGCATATCATAGAGTTAGTTTCGGTAGTTTCCTGTCTTTGTAGGAATTTGTCCATTTTAACTAGGTTATCCAATTTGTTGGCATAAAGTTGTTCATAGGGTCTTTTAAAATCCTTTTTATTTCAGTGAGGTTGAGAGTAATGTTCCCTCTTTGTTTTTTGATTCTAATAAATTGAGTCACCTTTCTTTCTTGGCCAGTCTAACCAAAGGTTTTTCAGTTTTGTTGATCCTTTAAAAAAAAACTTGTGTTCATTGGCTTTTCTTGATTGTGTTTCTGTTGTCTGTTTTATTTATTGCCTCTCTTTATTGTTTCCCTCCTTCTCCTTTGCTTGCTTTGGGTTTCCTTGCTCTTTTTCCTCGTTTCTTAAGGTATAATCTTAGGTTATTGATTTGAGATCTTTTTCCCCAATTCTTTAGATTGTAGCAAAATAAACATAGCATAAAATTTACCATCTTAATGGTATTAAATACCTGCATAATGTTGTGAACTCTAGTCCCCATCTACCTCCAGAACTCTTTAAAACTGAAACTGTATACCCATTAAACAATTAAACAATAACTCCCCATTCGCTGCTCCCCAGGCCCCCTGGCAACCACCATTCTACTTTCTGTCTATGATTTTGACTACTCTTTTTTTTTTTTTTTCTTTTTTTGGAGATATGGTCTTACTCTGTCACCCAGGCTGGAGTTCAGTGGCGCAATCGTGGCTCACTGCAGCAAGTGATCCTTCCACCTCAGCCTCTCGAATAGCTGGGACTACAAGTGTGTGCCATCATGCCTAGATAATTTTAAAAATTTCTTGTAGAGACAGGGTCCCACTATATTGCCCAGGCTGGTCTCACACTCCTTGGCTGGAGCAATCCTTCCACCTTCATCTCCCAAAGTGCTGGAATTATAGGTGCAAGTCACTGTGCCCGGCCTTGATTTTGACTACTCTTAGTACCTCATCTAAGGGGCATCATACAGCATTTGTCCTGTTGTGACCAGCTTATTTCACTTAGCGTAATGGCTTTAAAGTTCATCCCTGTTATAGCGTATTCCATGTATGTATGTACCACATTTTGCTTATCCATTTATGCGTCTGTGGACACTTGGGTTGCTTCTGCCTTTTAGCTATTGTGAATAATGCTGCTATGAACACGGGTATACCACTATCTCCTCCAGACCCTGCCTGCTTTCAGTCCTTTGGGGTATATACCTGGAAGTGGAATTGCTGGAGCATATGGTAATTCTATTTTTAATTATTCGAGGAACCAGTATACTGTTTTACACAGCACCTGTAGCGTTTTACATTCCCACCAACAGTGCACAAGTGTTTCAATTTCTCCACATCTTTGTCAACACTTACCATTTTTTCTGTTTTTCTTTATAGTAGCCATCCTGATGGGTGTGAGGTGGTATTGAGATCGTCTTTTTTTTTTTTTTTTTTAATGTAGGTGCTTATAGGTATAAATTACCTTCTCACCGTTTTACTACACCCTTAAGTTTTCTTGGGTTATGTTTTCCTTTTCATTAATCTCAAAGTATTTTCTAATTTCCCCTGTGATTTTTTTCATTGACCCATTGGCTATTTAGGAGGATGTTGATTTTCACGTATTTTAATTTTCTATATTTCTTTGTTCTTTCAGATTTTATTCTGTCTTTGGAGAACATGCTTTCTATGATTTTTTATCTTTTTAAATCTGTAGAGACTTGTTTTATGGCTTAACATTGTTTATCATGTGTAATATCCATATGCCCTTGAGAATAATATATTGTATTATTTCTAGTTCAAATAATTTATAGATGTTGATAATGTATTGTGTTATTAGAGGAAAATATATGTCATTTTAATCTGATGATTTAATATTTTGAGGCTATCCTTTTGACTTATATAAAGAGCTCCCTGTTTATGTTATCTGAATTTATTGGGAGGCATATCTGTGTCCAGAACATAGCATGTTTAAGTGACAGGTATGAATCTTGTTAGTGCCTATTACTGCCTGGTAACTGGCATCATGGGCAAGGAACTGAACTTCAGTAAATGGAGGACTTGGTTTGCTGTGAATGTTTTGAACACTGAATGAGTCCTTTGCTTATTATATAATTTTTGAGAGCCTAAGCACATGATGTTTCGTAGGTTATATGAATGATTACTCTGCTTTACTATTATCATTAATTACCATAAAGCATCCCCATGAAATGCATGTTTGCTACATTCTTGGCCTGTCATTTAAATAGATCTGTTTTTACTGACCTGTGATTTATCTACAACAAAGAGCATCCCTTGTATGTGTATGGTTTGATAGTTTGATGAGTTTTGACAAATATATATACCTATATAAGTATCACCCCAACCAAGATAGCATTTAATCACTCCCAAAAGTTCCTTCCACCTTATGCAAGTACTAATATGCATTGTCACTATAGATTAAATTTCCTTTTCTAGAATTTCATAAAATGAAATAGTATTGTCAGTACTCCTGTGTCTAGCACTAAATGTGTTTCTAAGATGAATTCAAATTTTTGTATGTATCAATATTCCTGTTTCTTGGGGAAGAGGTATTACATTGTGTTAATATATTACAATTTATCCATTCATCTGTTGATGGGCATTTGGATTGTATCCAGGTTTTGACTCTGAACAGAGCCTCTGTGAACATTCTTATAAAGAGTACTGGGTAGTATGCTTTCATTTTCATGTCCTTAAGGGAAATTATGGTTCTGTGATTTCATTTGTTGTAAGCCTTAGATATTTGTTATTTGATTTCCAAATATTTGGGTATTTTTATGCTATCATTTTGTTATCAATTTGTAGTTTAATTTTGTTATGGTCAAAGAATGTACTTTGTATGACTTTAGTCCTTTTAAATTTATCAGTGTTTGTTTTATAGGACAGAATGTAGTCCATTTTGTTGAATTTTCCATGCACATGAAAAAAAATGTGTATAATGCCATGGGTGGGTGGATTGTTGTGTAATGCCAGTCAGGTCAAGTTTCATGATAGTGTCATTCAGGTATTCCATATCAGTACTTTTTTTTCTTGTGTTATCAAGTCATTGAGGGGGCATGTTGAAGTTTCCAGTAGATTTGTCTGTGTTTCCTTTCGGCTGTATCGATGTTTCCTTTATATATTTTGAAGTTCTATTTTTGTGTTCATGCACATTTAGAATTATGTTTCCTTGGGGGACTTAACCGTTTTATTATTATGTACTGTCTCTCTTTATCCCTGTTAGTATTCCTTGTTATGAAAACTGCTAACGGTAGTGAATAGATAAAAGTGTAGTTGGATTACAATCTTAATCTGCCATTTTTCTAGATGATTGGTTATGTTTCTTCTGTTTTCTCTTTCTGTCTTTTGTGTATCAATCAAATGGTTTTTATGGTTTTATTTTTTTGATTTAAAACTTTGTTTTGAGACAGGGTCTCACTCTGTCTCTCAGGATGGAGTACGGTGGTGCCATCACAGCTCACTGCATCCTCGACCTCTGGGGCTCAAGTGAACCTCCCACCTCAGGCCATTCACTGCGCCCATAGGAGCTGGGACCATTTCTGGCTAATTTTTGTATTATTTTTTGTAGAGATAGGGTTTCACAGTGTTGCCCAGGCTGGTCCCAAACTTCCGGACTCAAGCCATCTGCCCACCTCGGCCTCCCAAAATGCTGGAATTATAGGTGTGAGCTGCTGCACCCAAGCTATTTTATTTTCATTTTTCTCTTAAAAATATTTGTAGTGGTGGCTCTGTGTTAAATTTTTTCATTTTTTTTCTCTCTGTACTTCAGTTTGGGTACTTTCAGCATATTTTCAAATTTACTGATCTTTCATTCTTACCTGATTAATTCCATCCACTTTTTAATTTTACATATTTTTTTGTCTCTAGACTTTTATCTGGGCCCTTTTTAATATATTTCTTCATCATTATGTGGATGATTTCCAGCATGCTTATAATAGCTTATATAAAGTCCTTGACTGCTAATTTCATCATCTTTGTTATTTCTGCATTCTCAGTTGACTGAATTTTCTGCTAGTTGTGTATGGTAGTTTTCTTCTTCATATCATGTCTTCATATCATTTTATTGAATGCTTAGTACTTTGAATTTTATATTTTTGAGCATCAGGTGTTGTATTCCTGTTAAGGAGTATTGGACTTTATTTTTTCAGAAGTGGTTACATTCGTCTGTGGCTTATGTTGTTAGGCAGTATGTAGGTATGATTGAGCTGCATTGCTAGGGTCTAAACTCCCCTGTATATCCACTGAATCCTCTGGATTTTCAATAGATGCTTCACTGTGGCCTCATCTCTGACGACTGTGTGAGCGTTGGATCTCTTTAGCATATCGCCCTCGGTCACTTTTTGACCAGTTTCATGGAGTTTTTCACCTGTGCATGCGTGGGTTTTTCAGAAGGTCTTCACTGATACTTGGAAAGTGCCTCTAGGCAGAAAGTTGAGGCAAACTTCTGGCTTATCTAATTCATTTTCCTTCTTGGATATTATCATTCAGTACTGCCTGTGGCCTCATGTCTTTAAAAAGTTAACCTCAGTGTGGAAAATCTGTTTTTCCAGTTTTCTAATTGTTTACAACGGGAGTGTAAGTCTGGTCTGTTTTTCCACCCTGGCTGGAAGTGGAAGTCATGGCCTACCATTTTATTTTCAAACCTTTTTTTTTTTCCTACCCAGAATTAGCCTGAAATGCCTCATCTACGATTACTAATAAGAGAGCCTGTTAATTTTGTTTGAAAAATTTAAAGGAACTAGTTTACAGTTTTTCAACCGTGTTATTAATAAAAATTAAATTTCCCTACTTTATCATAGTCTCCCTTTTTATCGTAGTCTTTTGTCTATAACAGTTAAGGGGCAGGGGGAAGCTAGATGTATTATTAAGTAATTTTTACTTTTCTCATTTTTTTAGACCTAAGGATTGTCTTCGGTCTATTATGAGAAGAGTGAACCACAAAGATCCTCACGTTGCTATGCAGGCTTTGACTGTGAGTGGTTTCATTTTAATCTGTACCACGAAATTACCTGCCACAATTGAGCCCCTTTAACTTCTGATTTTGTGCTTTTAGCTTCTAGGAGCATGTGTATCAAACTGTGGCAAAATTTTTCATTTAGAAGTATGTTCAAGAGATTTTGCTAGTGAAGTAAGCAACGTATTAAATAAGGTAAGGAGCATTATTTCCAGAAATTAATTAAGGCAGTCTTCTTTCTTCACATATTTTATTGTTTAAATCTTCACAGAGGACTATTCTGTGCTTTTTAAGAAATCCTTTCTAGGCTGTGTCTATCCAGTATATAAATAAATATTATGTTTTGTTGAAGAGACTGCGGATTCATGTAACTTTGAGTTAGTTTTTTCAAGCCATATTAGAGTGTTTTTAACCTGTTCTTTTCCATCATACTTTCATCTGATAAGAAAACAGGTATTTCTATATCTAATTAAATAATATCAGTCTATTTTACATACTGTTTTTGTAGGCACAAGGTATTTTCCTAATGGAAAACCTTTCAGAAACACTGCAAAAAGTCTATGGCACCGTTGAGTTTTTATCTTTATCAATAAGGCTGCTTCCTGGCCATCACAGGATTTTAATACTATACTGCTATTCTTACTGGCTGAACCCACAGCTGGAGTTGCCTCAAAAGTGGTGGCGGGGGAGTTTCCACAAGGGACTGCCCCAAACTGTTCCAGATAGGGCCAGATGAGAGTCCAAAAAAAGAGGCACTAAATGCCAGGGTGATCAGTCTAAAGGATTTATTAGGGGAACTTACACAGGAGGGCTGCAGTTTATAGGAGGGTTTAAGGAATTTGGCTCAGGGTTGGGGCTGGTTTCTGTGTGTTTAGCAACATACTTGATCTTTTAGTGTTTTGGGCCACAACCTGAACAACTTTATCAGTGCCTGAGAATGTTCAAGGCCCCAGTTTGGGTCCAAACCTATGGTGGAAAACATGCAGCTGGCTAGGTCACAGAGCGGGACAAGGCACTCTGTTTTTCTATTGGGACACAGAAAGAAAGCAGGGAGAACTGGGGACCCTACAACTGCCCACTCAACTGTAGAATTCTAGTCACACAGTTCAAGAAATTTTTCAATTTTCAATTAGTAATATGTGAGTTTCCCCAGTAAAAATTTGTGCATTCTAAAAGTAATTATTTTTGGCCTTTTTAGGGGGAGTACTGTAAATCAAGAAAAAGTTTTTGTATGTTAAAAGGGAAAATGCCTCATGTTTTTGGGAAAAATGAATAGTTCCAGGTTACAGTAGAAAAATAGCAGTATAGAAATATAGTAAGAATGTAAAATTCTGTACTTTTCGAACATCATGGTTAAATGATAATTCTTTCCCTTTCCTGCTTTATGCAGTTAATATTTATTTTCTACTAATTAATAAACATTGTCTTTTAATGTCCTGAATGTCCATCGAGATTACAACTGTTTATGAAGAGATTCTAATACCATGTTTTTTGTAATGTAGGTGAAAAATGTGGTATACTTACCTATGTATAATAGTGCAAGCAGCCATTTCCAAAAACGACTTCCTATAGGCAAGAGGACTTCTCTTTATTTTCTGAATGTTTTACAGTGAACATATTGGTTTTGTACTTAATAACATCCCGCCTTTTTTTTTTTTTTTTGAGACAGTGTCTCTCTTTGTCACCCAGGCTGGAGTACAGTGGCGTGATCTCAGCTGACTATAGCCTCTGCCTCCCGGGTTCAAGTGATTCTCCTGCCTCAGCCTCCTGAGTAGCTGGGAATACAGGCATGCGCCACCACGCCTGGCTGGTTTTTGTAGTGTTAGCAGAGATGGGGTTTCACCATGGGGATGGTCAGGCCAGTCTCGAACTCCTGACCTTGTGATTGCCCACCTCGGCCTTCCAAAGTGCTGGGATTACAGGCATGAGCCACCGCGCCCAGCCAACATCCTGCCCTTTTAAAAAATTTCCTTTTATTAAACAAATTAAGTTCATGTATAGTCTCAATAAAGCGTTTGCAAATCCATTATATGCTCCTTGACCAAAATACAGATTACATGTGCACTTAGAAAGAATTTTTTTTCTTCTAATAGAGTAATCTAAAAGTCTAACCTTCTCCATTTTTAAAAGCTTTAGCCAATTATTTAGTAAGCATTGGTTTGAAATACATTCATGACATTTCATAGAGGAGTTATTTCTTCTCTGGTATCTGTGAAGGTTTCTTTATATCTATTACATCAAATAGTAAGACTTCAAATTATTGCCGCTATGAAGATACATCAGTATTTTAATGAACTGGCCAGGTTTTTTCCCTTAATAAGCAATGAGTAAAATAATTTATTTTGAAAACTCACTACATTTATCTCTTTCTTTAATACGGAAGAATAATGCCCTGCACACCTGCCTTAGACTAACTTGAATCTTTGTTATACATCAACCATAAAGAGTTATGTTATTTTGGGCTGGGCACGGTGGCTCATGCCTGTAATCGCAGCACTTTGGGAGGCTGAGGCGGGCGAATCAGTTGGGGTCAGGAGTTCAAGACCAGCCTGGCCAACATGGTAAAACCCCGCGTCTGCTAAAAGTACAAAAATTAGCTGGGCATGGTGGTGCGCGCCTGTAATCCTACTCGGGAGGTTGACACAAGAGAATCGCTTGAACCGCATCCCCCACCCCCCTCTGGGAGGCGGAGGTTGCAGTGTGCTGAGATCGAGCCACTGCAGTCCGGCTTCTGCCACAGGGTGAGACTCTGTCTCAAAAAACAAACCAAAAAAAAAGAAAAGAAAAGAAAGGAAAAAAAGTTATGTTATTTTGAAGAAATTAAATTTTCAAAATGATTAACATGCAGTGTACCTCAAACTAGGCCCCAGATAATTAAGCATCATGGAAAAAATGCATAGTCATGAACATTAAGAAGTCAGGAATTTGGAATAAAGGAACTGTATCATTTATTCTCTCCTTCCCACTTTTTTATTGCTTTGCAAAAAGCAGACACTTTTCCTTGTCTTACTGATGTACAAACCTTGCTTCGTTGCAAAATATTCTGAAAAGTCCTTTCAGATCTCCAAAATCTTATTACCTATTTAATGCTTTAATTTGAAGTGAGATATATATGATGGGTTTTTTCATAGTGTGAACATTAGTTTTATTTCGAATAACTATATTTTCTTGTCTATAGCTATGCATAACTTGTGATTCAAAAAACATCACTTAATAACTTTACTATTTAAAATGTCTGTATTAAATCATTGGCTAGGAAATTGGTGCTCTTTTATTTCTTTTTCTATTTTACAGGGTCATCCTAAAGTATGTGAAAAATTAAAGGCTCTTATGGTTGAATGGACAGATGAATTTAAGAATGATCCACAGCTTAGTCTAATATCAGCAATGATTAAGAACCTTAAGGAACAAGGAGTTACGTTCCCAGCTATTGGCTCTCAGGTATTTTGGGAATGAAGTTGTGTGTGTGCTACAGTTTGTTTCTCTTAAATAGCTATATTTATTTGAATTTTTTTCTTCATTCCCAGGTAATTTTTACTACTTCAGAGGAATTTTCGTTAGCTAATTGTGTTAGTAACTAGTTGTATTGCTAGTTAGTAATACTAGTTTTCTGGCATTCAGAGGTGCCAGAAAAGTATTATAATGGAATATTAATGTGCTCTAACCTCTCTACTTCTTTATAAACGAATTGGTTTAACATTTTGCAGTTTTTGAAATTTTTTGGTATAGTTTTTGTTTGTTTGTTTTTGAGACGGAGTCTTTGTTTGTCGCCCTGGGTAGAGTGCAGTAGCGTGATCTCGGCTCACTGCCACCTCTGCCTCCTGGGTTCAGGTGATTCTCCTGCCGCAGCCTCCTGAGTAGCTGGGACTACATGCACGTGCAGCCAGACCTGGAAATTTTTTTTTTTTTTAAATAGAGGTGGGTTTCACCATGTTGGCCAGGCTGGTTTCGAACTCCTGACCTCAGGTGTTCTGCCCGCCTCGGCCTCCCAAAGTGCTAGGATTACAGGTGTGAGCCACCAGGCCCAGCCAGTACAGTTTTAATAATATACACAAAATAGCTTTATTAATTAGGTAACACTGTCTTTTTAAATGCTCTTAATGCTATAATTTTCTACAAAGAATGATAGCTCAGAAATCAGGATATCCTTAAAAGTTAGGGATGACTTGAGAGATTCTTTTGTGGAGGAAATTTATGAATTCCTCTATTAACAATGAGAGGACTTTAGAAGGGGTAAATGGGAAGAGAAGCACCTGAAGCATTTTCTCCTTAGTAAGAGCCGACCAGTACATAAGTCTTCCTTTCCCCAGTGGATATGGCTAAATAGCTTAACTTTGCTCTCCTGTCCACCCTTGTGCCAAAAAAATTCAGTCTCTAATTTATGTCATGTAGAAAAAAATCAAGAAATGTCTTTTTTATTCCTATTTCTATTTTGGGTAACCTTCCTTTAGGATGCCCAACTAATCAAGAGGCTTAAAATATGTGCTGATTTACTACACTGTCTTTCCCCAGTTTATTGACTGGGACAGACTGTAATGAGTGATGTGAAACCATGAACAGAAATCTGTGAGTGTGGAGGGGCTTATGTTTTGACCACTTCAGGGAGTCATGTAGCTTATCTACATTCATCCAGACCTACATGTGCTTTCTTCCCAAGGCATTTCCAGTTTATCTGAGCACTCTTGAGATGTGAAGACTCAAAAATGTATCTGGGAGAGGAAGGAAGCAAAGGACATTCTTCTTCTTAAAAAAATTTTGGTTTAAAATTTTCTTAAAAAAATTATGTCTTTGAAAATTCATTCATTCATAACTGATAGCTGGTTTTTACTACTCAGTATAGTTTCTAGAATCTGTATAATTAAGGAAAAATCTTAAACAGAATAATCCAAGACATTATACATTCCTTGACAACAGAAACAATGTTTATTTATCAAAGAGTAGACTCACTGCAGAGAACCCACCTAGAATAGGTAGAGAAAATGCAAGCCCACTAAATATCTAGAGTCTTTGGTTCTTGTTAACTCAAAACTTGGTTTGACCAGCATCACTGGCATTACCTGGAGGCTTGTTAGAAATGCAGCATGGTTGAACCCACTCCAGACCTATGGGTTCATTATCTCCATTTTAACAAGATCTTCAGAGGATTTATATGCACGTTGAGGTCTGAGAAGCACTGCTGCTCTAGAGGACAGCCTTCAGTGCAAGTGAAAACTGCGTTTCAGTCCACAAAGGGACTTACTCTTGTAAGAAAAGGAAGAATTAATGATTGTGCCATATGTACCCTTGTTTGGTTAATCTAGAATCTTAGCCACGGAAACAGTTTTAGGGAGCCTCTAATCTAATCCGCTCATTTTTACAGATGAGGAAACTGAGACTCAGAATGGTTAAGTGACTTGCCCAGGGACACAGCTCATAGTTGACAGCTGGAACTAGAACACAGGCATGCTGATTCTCAGTCCAGTGTTCTTTTCGCTGCCCGAGTCTGCCTTCTTTGTTAGAGAGGTTAGTGAATATGTGTCTGTCTAGACCAGGCTTCCAGTGGAGTGAATGCTGGCAAGAGCATTATGTCTTGATTGGTAGAGAAACTAGCTTATTCTCTTGTTCAAGAAATTCAGGACATAGAAGAGCAATAGTAAAGATAGGACTTAATTTTCATCCTTTGATCTAGATGTTATAAAGTATGTAACAGCTAATCTTGTCATAGTGGCTATATTTCACCTACAAGAAATACATATAAAGTAAAATATGATGAGGTAGAATGATTTTTTTAGTGGTTTCTGAAAAGCTTATTAGAAACCCTACATGTAAAGAGCTTCACATTAAATGAAAAAAATAAATCATCTAAGTTCAACTGCAGAACTCCCTGTAGATTTTAAAGCCACTTAGTTACTTAAGTTATTACTGTGTTTTCATCAGACTAGATTTTTGTTAGGGCATACTTAACAAAAACCTCTGAAGATATATTTTTCTAAGTATATTTTTTTCATCTGAGTACAGAAGAAAATAATGTAAAAATATTAAGAAAAGTGATAAAGTCACCTGACTCATACTGATGCAGTTCTGTTAGCACTAACTTTTGATGTAAAGATAGAAGTAGGCTAGCAGCACCGCTACCGTAGTTGGCTGCTTAATAAGACAAGTGTTATTGTTACATTTAGAACCTGATGATAGAAAGGAACTTTGAATAAAAAGTGCAGTTCAGAAACATGCGGCTTCACATAGCTTATTTCTGCGCTTCTCTACTGGTAGAGATTTCTTCACACACCATAAAAGTTCAAATCTGTCTAATTGTGAAGTTTGCCAAATTGTGAACAAAAATTTATGTAAACCGTAAAACTTATTTCTGACCAGGCATACCTGTAGTTTTCAGAAGTGTCTGATAATTAAAACATTATCTAAAGAAAATTGCAACTAGAGATAGGTCAGAATTGAGAGTGTTTAAAGTTGTATTCTGTGAACACCAAAAAGTTTTTTTCTTCTCAGCTCTTCTAAAAATAAATGCCTGGCCGGGCGCGGTGGCTCACGCCTGTAATCCTAGCACTTTGGGAGGCCGAGGCGGGTGGGTCACGAGGTCAGGAGATCGAGACCATCCTGGCTAACATGGTGAAAACCTGTCTCTACTAAAAATACAAAAAATTAGCCAGGCGTAGTGGCAGGTGCCTGTAGTCCCAGCTACTCAGGAGGCTGAGGCAGGAGAATGGTGTGAACCCGGGAGGCGGAGCTTGCAGTGAGCCAAGATCTCGCCACTGTACTCCAGCCTGGGCGACAGAGCGAGACTCAAATAAATAAATAAATAAATAAATGCCTGTGCATTTGTTTGACAACACGAAATCCAGTTAAGTGAGGAATGTAGAACTGTATTTTATTATAATGTTGAATATTTTTCCTTTCATACCCTCAACAAACATTGATTGATTGCTTGTAATATTTAGGCACATTCCCTCAGGGAACATACAGTCTGGTTGTGGAGACAGACATGTAATCAGACAATTATAACAGAAGCTGAGATTATTGCCTGTTACAATGTTCCAGTCAGTGTTCTAAGTGCTGTACATGTGGCAATTTGAATGTGTTTTAGAATTTCATTTTTAAATTGTTTGCCCTGGGAATGACAATATACATTCATAACTTTTCATGATCTACTTTGAGTTAATATTTGATGTAAAATATAGCAACTTTGCATCTGTAGAGGTCTGTTTACACTGTAGTTGTCATGTGTATTACCTCTACATACGTTATAAGCCCCGGAGGTAATGTTACATACTTTTTGTTTTAAACCCTGAATGAGCCCATCTCATCTGATTTTGGAATCACATGTGTTAATTTAATACTTTAAATAGGCTGTGAGGTGCCCATGAGGTGTAGGTGCTATTATCGTAGTCATTTTATTGATGAGGAATTTGAGGCACCAAGAGGCTAATTTGCCCAGTGTCATCCAGCTAGAAAGTGGTAGATCTGGGATTTGAACTCATGTCTGTCTGACTCCACAACTTACATTCTTAACCACTCATATCGCAGTACCTTGTTTAAAGGTGTTATCATAATAACAAACAAGAGAATGTGTAATTAACAGGTTGAGGGATGCTTCATTGACAGTGATATTTTAGCTGATTACTGACTGATGTGTTCAAACTCAAAAGGGAAAAAGTGAACGGAGCAAAGGAGCCATAGGGGGAGAACGTTGTAAGTAGAAGTAAATGAGTGTGAGACCTGTAAAGTACCGGTATAGAGACTGCTCAGGAACTGCTAGCAGTTTCTGGTAACTGGCAGAATGGTTGGAAATGAGGTTGGTAAGATAGGCTAAATTCTGATTTGCCTTGAATGCTATGCAAAAACTGAGAGGCCACAGAGCCCATAGGCTTAGAAGCTTGTAATTCCAGAAGTGTGAATTGAATTATATGTTTGTTGTGTATTCCCTTATTTACACAATTTAATAGAGGCAGTGATATACTGTCAGAATTAACTACTTGTAATTTGGTTTACAAAATAGGATTTTTGAGCATTTATATCGTTTTATATATATATCTGAGTTCCTGAAGATAACATCCTGACACTTGATCCAAAAGGAAATGATAACTCTAACTATTAATAGATACTACAGTTTTTTTTTTAACTATTTATGTTTAAAGTAGTCATCTCTTTCTGTCTCCCAGCCTCTTTTCTGGTTTTGGAGTTTTTTTAAACACGTTGAAATCTTCTCTAGTCTGTCTTCTCTGACTTGTGTACCATATGCTTTTAGTTGAACCTCTTCACACAAACCTGGGAGGGTGTGCCTAGGCTGCCTCCTCTAAGTGTCTAGTTGCTCTCTGTGTTCTCCAATTCTGATTCATTTCCCTCTCCCTTTTAAGGTGGAAGCTGCTGCAGTTTGGATTTCTTCTTTCAGAAATCTGTGCTAGATTGATGAGAAAGGTTTTGCAAATTCTTAGGGTGGGTGAGAGGAGGAGAATTTGATAACAACCCTCAAATACTGTGTTCCTCTTTTTTGTTAGGCTGCAGAACAAGCAAAAGCAAGCCCAGCTCTTGTAGCCAAGGATCCTGGTACTGTGGCTAACAAAAAAGAAGAAGAAGATTTAGCAAAAGGTGCGTTTTTAAGTCCCTGATGGTGGGAATAACATAAGCCTTTATTTTTTCTCTGAGATATTTAAAGGTAAAATAAATAGAACTTTATAGCAAAAAGCTGAAATCTGCTTTGTTGCCCTCCTCAGTATTCTTTGCTTTACTCTTGAGAGGCAATTACTGTCACATGTATCCTTTCAGTCTATGTTTTTATGACAGTTTTTTACTATACCGTGTATCCAAAAACAATATCAAGTGCTTTTTTGTGTCTAACAAATTTGTTTTTTGTAGATAGTACACGGGAAATGCCATTTGCCACTTGCTTTTCTCATGCAACATTATGTTTGAGATCTATTCGTGTGATATATCCATTAACTGTTCTATAATATCCAGTGTACTAATGAGTGTACCATATTTTTCTGTCTTCCTACTGATGGACCTGTGGATTATTTCTGATTTTTTTTTACTAAAATTAAGCTGCAGTGAGTATTCTTGTACATATTCTCTGTGCACATATATGTGACCGTCTCTATTATGTGTGACTAAAAGCAATATTGTTGGATCATGGCATTGGTACATCTTCAGTTTTGTTAAATGGTTGTTATGATTTCCTTTTCCATTGGCAGTGTATGAAAGCTATTATTATTAATCTGACAACACTTGGTAGTCTTAAAGAGTTTAACTTTCATGAATCTGGTAGGTTTAAAATGATGTCCTGTTATTTTAATTTTTATTTTTTTGATTGCTAGTGAGACTGAGTTCTTTTTTTGTATATTCACTGGTCATTATGTTTTTCTCTTGGGTAAATTGTCTTTTGTTAAATAAAATAATGATATGTACAAGTCTTTATTTGAAATATTAGTTTGTTATCTGTTGTAATTATTGTAGGTATCTACTCCTGGTTTTTGACCTTAAATTTGATAATGGTGTATTTTATCAAGTAGAAATTTTAAGTTTTGTGAAGGCCAGAGTTGTTTGCTTTTTTATTATGATTTTTACTTTGTAATGGCTTTTGAAAAATATTGTTCCCTACCTCAAGGTCCTAAAAGATAGTTTTCTGTATTGACTTTTAGTAGCTTTAAAGTTTTGTTTTCGTATTGTTTCTTTTATTACTCTAAAACAAGAGCGGAAGAGCAGAAAGGGTTCTGTGTTGAATTGAAAGCAGGATAATCAATGCACTGATATTACATTTCAGAGCCTGAGTGACATATGGTGATGGTCTGCACTTGGGAAGTAGTGGTGGAGATAGAGACACGTTTGAGATCTATTTTGGAGGATTTGTTAGGTTGAGTCTTTAGACTGGTAAGAATTACCCTTGGAGCAATAAAATCTCGATTCTCCAAGATTGCCTTTAAGGCTTTGATTTATTAAGTCTGCAGTGAAGCTTGATATTCTTGACTTTCCAGGCAGTTTTGATGATTATTTTGAAAAAAAGGTCAAGGAAAATATCTGCAGCTAAAAAAGAAAAGTAGATTTAAGAGTTTGTATTTTTTATTACCCAGAATAATTTACATTGTATTTGTTCAGTAAAAATAGGAGTTTTCATGCTGTTCCAATTTTGTTAATTTATTTTTAAACTTTCAGTTGTGAATGAATGAATAAACTGACAAAATGATTTTTGTTCAATGTATCAGGATATGTTCTAGTTTCTAACTATACTATTGAAGGAAGAATACCTTTTATCTTGATGTCTTTTTCTACTTCTTCAGACTGTTGGATATAATAACATTTTGGGTCTTTAAAAACTCATTGTTTTCTAGCCATTGAGTTGTCTCTCAAGGAACAAAGGCAGCAGTCAACCACCCTTTCCACTTTGTATCCAAGCACATCCAGTCTCTTAACTAACCACCAACATGAAGGCCGAAAAGTTCGTGCTATATATGACTTTGAAGCTGCTGAAGACAATGAACTTACTTTTAAAGCTGGAGAAATTATTACAGTTCTTGATGACAGGTAATGTTAATATTACATTTAAAATTTGTATGAAAGTGTGTATGGCTTCTGTGTTTCATATTATTCCTGTTGATTGCAGTTACCAAATACAATAATAAATATTGACCCAGATGCTGCTCTGTATGACAGTTGGCTGATTTGCTTGTGTTATACTGGGTGGATTCTTATTTTGTTGTTTAATTTTTTTCTTATTTATTACTTAGTTTATAATTTGTTTTGGAGGCCTAGTTTAATCTATTCATTTTCGGTTCCACCTAATAATATAGATGGTTACATTATTTAAAAGGTTACAGTTTTAGAAAAACACTGAGTATGTATATGTACTTAATGCAATTTGTAAGAAATATATAATCTATTGAGTTTTTTTTACACAGAACAGTATAGCCATAGGGAACAAATTTATTTTGTATGGAATTACACATTTATTCAGGAGGTGATACAGTGCATCAGTTTATTTTTTTACTATAGCTTTGTGATGTTTTACTTGAAAATGAATTGTTACTGATGCTTGTTACTGATAATGAAGTATTAAAATTTGCAGGTGTTTTTTAAAAATCAGTTCAAATTGATTTAAAGTTCTTCCTGTAGTGTCTCTCTTACTTACTGCCTTAGTCCATTTGGGCTGCCGTAACAAACTACCGTAGACTAACTGGTTTATAAACAACAGGAATTTATTTCTCACAGACAGATTGACTGTGTGTTGAAGGCCCACTTTCTGGTTTGTAGAAGGCTGTCATTTTGCTGTGTCCTCCCATGGCAGCAGGGGCAAATGAGCCCTCTGGGGTCTCTTTTATAAGGTCGCTAATCTCATTCATGACTTAATCGCTTTCCAAAGTCCCCACCTTCTGATACCATTGCTTTGGGGGTTAGGATTTCAACCTGTGAATTTTGGGAAGACACAAACATTCAGACATATTTTAACATTTTTTTTTTTTTGAGTGGAAGAAAATAAAGTTTGAGCTGGTTAGCTGGAAATTGCCCAAAACCTTACGTCTGTTCTTTCAAAAACATGTATTGAGTGCTTGCTAGCTTTCCATATACTAGAGTTTACACCTAGGAGTGTACTCTTTGCGAATGTTTTGCACTGTGAACAGTGTCATCTTTGACATTCGTTCTGTTGGGAGAAAAAAAAAACCTTGCTGCTGTGTACCAGAAAGAGCAATGATTTAGGAATGGAGACTGAAAATAAGAGCCTGTCTTTATAGCTCATTACAAAGACTTCTTACTCTGGAGCCTGTGAACCATCTGAAGCTGACAATTTTTTCGTATTGGTGCCTCTTTTTTTGGGAGAGAGTCCATAACTGCAGAGCATGCATTGGCAGTCAAGAAGATAAACAACTGTGTGTTGAATAGCTTCTTACCTTTTCTGAGGCTTCTTCTTCTTTTGTAATAAAGGAAGATTCATTGGCTTTTTCAGTGGGTTATTGTGAGATTCAAATTTTGTAATAGTGTAAGTTGAATACTACAAAAGATAAAGATGTACAGAAATAAATACATTTGTTATGGTAAAGCATTGTTTTTTGTTTGTCATAGTGATCCTAACTGGTGGAAAGGTGAAACCCATCAAGGCATAGGGTTATTTCCTTCTAATTTTGTGACTGCAGATCTCACTGCTGAACCAGAAATGAGTAAGTATTTTCCAGCCTGCCAATAAATGATGTTTTCTAATCCTTTTCTTAATGGAAGTTGAGTAAACTGAACTTTTTAGAGCAGTGTTGCCCAGGCTGGAGTGCAGTGGTGCGAGCTCGGATCATTGCAACCTCCGCCTCCTGGGTTCAGGTGATTCTCCTGCCTCAGCCTCCTGAGTAGCTGGGATTACAGGCACCCGCCGCCATGTCCAGCTGTTTTTGTGTGTGTATGTATTTTTAGTAGAGACAGGGTTTCACCATGTTGGCCAGGCTGGTCTTGAACTCCTGACCTCAGGTGATCCACCCGCCTCAGTCTCCCAAAGTGGTGGGATTACAGGCGTGAGCCATCGCACCTGGCCTAACTTTTCTTTTTCATATGTATCTATGTAGAGGTCATTGTAAAAATGCAAATTCATTAAGAAGTCTTACAGAATTTATACATTATATATTTTTCTTACCAGTTGATTACAGTGTGACAAGTACAGTATAACCTCAGGGAGGATTTTTCTTGTTCAAAGGTTGGGACCGTTTCTCTAGTGTGTAGTCCCAGACTTGAAAGCAGTGTTCTCCAAGCAACATGTCAGATATTCAGAAGGAGCCATTTTTACTAATCATATAAAAGTTTTTTGTTTGATTTACAAACCCTGCTGAGTAGGATAATAAACTAGAAAGTGGGGCCGTGGAGAAAAAGTGATACTAGTGGCAGGCTTAACAGTTTCAGGAGACATAGCTACATAGTCGGTCAAAGTAGTGAGAGACAGTTTACTATATTTCTACATAATATTGTGCTTTAATGAATCTTCATAATGATGAGTTTAGTCATCAAGCAAAGTTTAAGTCATAATCTCCCCTCTAGGAAAACAGAAAAATATGTTCAAATCTAGAAAGATTTGTATTTGTAATAAAATATTTAAAATTTTTAAAGAGCTTATATGTATAGGTTGATATGCTACAGTTATTTGGCAAAATATCTCATTATCGTTTTTTAATGCTAGATAGAAGGGATCAAAGAAAATTACAAACCACAAGATGCTTAGGTGTTTTTTAGTTTATAAGAATTTTAAGAAAAAAAATCTTTGTCCTGGTCATCTTTTTATTTCCAGCAGCTCCTAATAGTGAGTCTTATAATACATACTACATATTTATAGAATAAATGATACAGAAATATATATGTTAACAATAAAGAGATACTTCACTTCTCTTTCAAGAGAAGGCTTGAACAGCAAACCAGAAATTACAGATCTTTAAGAAAATGGTGCGCTCTCATAGTTATTGCCAGGGTGTCTGGTGTCATTTTTATAGAGACAGATTGGTGAGACCCAGTCTTTCAATGATGTTTTCTATGTCTGTGAGAATTCAAAAACATGTCAACCTTGTTTAAATGGCATTGCGTAGTGTGCTGACTTTTTAATAACCTGGGCTGGTAATGATGTTTTGTTTGTTTTTGGACTATTTTTTTGTCCTGAATCAGTTCCTGGAGAGGATAGAATTGCTTGGAGTTCTGTTCAAGATAAGGTCAAGGATCTCATGTAGATCCTGGAGCCATTTCATCTTTTTTTTTTTTTAAGTCATATAGCAATGCAGCTTCAATATGAGTTTTCTAGTTTTTCTCATGTTTTTCACTCTGGACGATCTAAAAGAGAAACTGAAGCATCAGAGCCTATGTAGTGGGGTTGTAGTTCTCAAGCGTGGAGAACAGGTGCAGGTGCTAGCATGATCCCCAGAGCATCATTCTTTTGAGGAAATAGAAGTCTATTTCACTTAGCCTGTCAAAGAGAAATAGCTGCCCTATTTAGCTTGCTTTTGGTTTGGAGATACAGTAAAATATTGTGAAATCCCTTTGTTATATATTGTATATAAATAATATATTTTTTTACACACACATAGTATTAGTTCCTGTGAGAAAAGGGGTTGCAAACTTGCGCGTCAAGAGCTGTTAGAATATGAAGTCTGCCATGTTTTTCTTATGGGTAATGGCCAATGCAGTGCTATCCCAGCTTTCTACTTGTAATAGCTCAAGATATAAAAAGCAAAATGTCTGCAGCAGATGTTTCTTTTCCTTTATAGGAAAATGAATCAGCTGTAGAATTTTGCTTTTGGTGACTTGAATGGAATGATTATATTTCTTAGGTTGGAAATTAAGCTATTTCTGTGTTATACAGAAGCACACAACACGGAGTACCCAAGTGATTGGACTTCATGTTCTCGGGGTAAAATCACTGGCACAGGCCAGATTTCAGTAGTATGGGCTAGTAGAGCAAGATAGATTGGCATTCAAATCCAGGCTTTGTCATTTATTAGCTTTCTCTTTTACAAAAGTTTTTAATCTTTCCAAACTACCTTATTTATAAAAAGGGCATATCTCATAAGATTGGGAGATTCATTGGAGGAAATGTAATATTCCATCAAGCATATTCAATAGTTTAATAAACATTATTTCCCTTCCTTAAATTGCCCCCTCCTGTCTTCCTTTCCATCATGATTCTTAATATTTTTATGAATTGATTGACCACATTGATGCAAGGATTAAAAATATAGAAAGGAAGTTTGTTTAGTAGAGTTGTATATGCCTTTCAGTAGTATTTGGAGGTTGTTATATAGCTACTGTTATGTTAAATTGTTTTTAAAGATTGCTTTGGTGAGTAGGAGAAATCTGTGCTTCTGGCCAATGAATTGTTGATCCCTCAATGACCACTTTTTAATGTCAAATGATAATATTATATAACTAGAAAATACAGGCTGATTTGTTGGAAGACTGAGACCCCTGTCAAGGCCACCTGCAAAGTTCTCCACTGGCATGGACGGCGCTCTCTAAACGCCTACGTGGCACGCCAGATAATACATAGCTGATTTTCCCATTCATTACATTGGAGTAGTGTGGATTTTCTGTCAAACCAGATTTTTTTTTTCTACCAAATGAGATTTTTTCTTGAAGGATTAGTAATTTAAAAAGAGGGTTTATTTTAAATTGCAGAATTCACTTAGGCCATTGTAAAACTTTGCTTTTGTCCTCCAGCTTACTAAACTCTGATGTGTAGTAGGTGATTAACCTTTTTTCAGAAATACAACTCTTATTATTAGTGAAATCTCTTTTTATGGAAACTGTAAAATGTTTACAAGAGAAAATTAAGAAATCCAATTTCATAAAGTAATGTTGTGTTATTACTGCCAAAATCTGCAACTCAGTTATTTCTTAAATTGCGCCTTTTAGCTTGCTGGGAGTATAAGAAAAATCCCCAAATCTCTCTTGGAAGTTAAAGTGCTTTAAAGTAGAATTTTAAATGTATTATTAAAAAAAGATAACTTTTACATATCTTACAGTTAAAACAGAGAAGAAGACGGTACAATTTAGTGATGATGTTCAGGTAGAGACAATAGAACCAGAGCCGGAACCAGCCTTTATTGATGAAGTAAGTGGTTTCCATGGTGATAGGAGTTGGTACTTTGTATTGAAATTTAAATGGTTTTGCTTTAAGAAAAAATTGATTACTTGAGTTTTTTTGTTGTAAAAATTTTTGTATTTTTTTATAAAAATTCAAGCAATATAGACGATGCAGACTGTTTTTTGAAACTTCCTCTCCAGTCCTTTGTTTGCCGTGCCAGAGCCTCATTATTTTAAATTCCTGCTGAATATTCTGTAGAGTGGCCTTACCATGATTTATTTAATCTATTGTTGAATGCCTAGGTTGTTTACAGTTTTTACAGTGTAGTAGTGAGATTTTTTTTTTTTTTGAACATCTATCTTTGTGTTTCTTTAGGGTAGATATTCAGGAGTGAAACTATTGAGTTGAAGGATTTGTGTATTTTCCATGTTAATAGATAATGTCAAATTGTTGAGCAAAACAAGTTTTTACACTCGTATTCATATCATGCGAGAACTCCTGTTTCCCAGCATACTCAACAAGGATATTAAGATTGTTTGCACATGACTGAGGAAGGGACACTCATTGACTATCTATTGAAACAAATAAATTACTGTTGTAAAAATAAAATTGTCATTAAATTACTTCTACATAAATCATTGCATAAAAGCAGTGCTAATATATTGAATATCATTGGAGATGATTCATGATTCCTCCTTGTGTTGAACACTTTCTAGTATTTGAGGAAAAGCTTACGCTAATTTTATATTAAATGTCTTCATATGTCATTGTCACACCTGAAACAATGTATATTTTTAGTAATTATGCTCAAAAATATAATATCAACTTGGTGACACACCATACTTTTTGGAGCCACATAATGGTACCCAAATTGGTATTATTGGGATTTAAATTTGAGATTTCTTGAATTAAGTTAATCACTCCTATTTAGTTAAGTTTTATAGAAATATCTGCTGTTACTGCATATAAAGAAAAGATTAAAACTGGCTACCTTTTTCATCTTTAAGCGTGTTTATGAAAAAATAAAAAGTATGTTTGTGGTTGTCTTTTTCTACTCAAACTTATTACCATGTTTTAAAAATAACATTAACAACTGTTGAGTTAATAATACATTAAATTATGCAACTAGCAAACCATTAAGGATTTTTGAAGTGTCACATTGTATAGATCAGGAGTTGGCAAACTCTTAGGCCAAATTTAGCCTGTTGCCTGTTTATTGGAACACAGATAAATTTGTTTATATATTGTTTGGCTGCTTTTGTGCTGCAGTGGAAGAATTGAGTAGTAGCAACAGAGATCATATGGCCTGCAAAGCCTGAAATATTTACTGGCGGGCCATTACAGAAAAAGTTTGCTTGGCCCTTGGTATGGATAATTTAAAGAGAATCTTTTCCGATCCTCAGTTACCATAGCATTCTTTCCTAAAATTGATCTGCCCGAGAACATTCTCTCCTACCATTTTCGTTTTTACCCCCCTCCTCTCCCTTTTCAATTCTTCTCTCCAACTTTACGGAAGAAAGGCTTACCGCTTGCCCGTAGTGAAGATTACTGTGGTACATTGCCTCAGAGTATAAGAATTACCAGGGATGATTTCATATACTGGTTTTGGTATTAAGAAAGTCATGGCTCTAATGACTAGTTAACACAGCTGAGATGGTTCCATATTTTTTGTTTTTAAAAAATAGGACCAAAATGAATTTTCAGCTAGTAGATCATTAAAAATAATTTTTAATGACAGACCACTGTCATTCCATTCCATCTTTCAGAAGATACCGAAAGAACTTAATGAAATTGCTATAATAGCTTGATTATATGAACAAAATTTCTCCTCACTTTCAACTATAAAAACAAAAAATAGGAATAGAACTGGTGCTGAATCCTGGCTCATTTTACTTTTCAAAACTTGAAATATAGTTAATGTTGTTTTGACCCTTTGCATATTAATAATAATAATCATTACCTTATACATATGAATGAATCTAATACTGAGAGTATTATCAGTTTACATACTTTTAGTGCAAAGAAATCCCATATGGTCATCGGTAGAAAACTTTCAAGTATATTAGGATAAAATTTTGGAGGGGAAATTGAGTAGAAATATGATAAGTTCAAGGAAAAAAACAATTTGAAATACATGACAGAGACTGTTGTTTGAATGGTAATGGTGAGTGCAGATTGCTGTGGTGTTTAAATTCCTTTGGCTATATTTAAAGGAATTTTTGACTATTTTATTTTAAAATGTCAACACTTAATGTCCTGGGAATCTTATCCTTTGTAACATTTTAAATGTATAAGAAATGAGATGTTATCTTTGAAATATGTGAAGGGGTTTATGGGCTTTTAGCAATCTTTTATGGGAGGCAGAAACAAAATTTGAAGAGCGAAACAGACTGTGGAAGACTGTGCTAAGGGCAAGGAATCCACCTGGGCTAGGAGAAGTGATGTTTGGCTGATTGCATTATATAAGAAAATGCTGGCCAGGCGCAGTGGCTCTCGCCTGTAATCCCAGCACTTCGGGAGGCCGAGGCGGGCAGATCACGAGGTCAGGACATTGAGACCATCCTGGCCAACATGGTGAAACCCCGTCTCTACTAAAAATACAAAGATTCGCTGGACGTGGTGGTGTGCGCTTGTAATCCTAGCTACTTGGGAGGCTGAGGCAGGAGAATCGCTTGAATCTGGGAGGCGGAAGGTCGTAGTGAGCCAAGATCATGCCACTGCACTCCAGCCTGGGAGACAGAGTAAGACTCCATCTCAAAAAAAAAAAAAAAAAAAGAAAAGAAAAGAAAAGAAAAGAAAATACTTGCAGAAGCAGACTAATCATCTATGTAGAAACCCTACTTCTTTGACACTAAATAATTTTAAATATTGTATAGTATTCTGTAAGCAAACAAAACGGAAACCATCTGTGTGTTAATGGACTCTCACTTTCATTTGACCTTTTTTTGTGTGTGGTAGGCAAACTTTCTTGACATGTGCTTTTGTTTTTTAAGACTGCTTAAAATGAAAATTGTGAATAATTTACATTGAAAATTGGTATCCATTTCAAAAAAACAGAATTATTTTGACTTGGGAAGAGTTTTTTTTTTTTTTAGCATACTTATGTCACTTTCACTCTCTGATGATTAATTCGTTTCTCAAGCTATTTTCCTTTTACACAGAACATAGTTTTTAAATTTTAAATAATTACTTTGCTTAGGATTAGTAGTCTTTATTTGCCCTGCGTACCTATATATAGTAGCATAACCATGTAAAAACCATGCATGGAGAAAGGTTTGTAATTATTTTAGTAGTGGTCATGGTAAAGTAGATCTGTTTGGATTTTTTAAAAAACATAAATACATATATACTTATATATCGTATAGATGTGTGTATGTAATAATGGTTTCATTCATTCCATTGGTCTGTACAACAAAAGATTCTGAAATAGATCTGTGTCACTGGTTTGAGGTACCTTCCAGCCTCTCCCAAATAGGAAAATAGAGAAACCACTAGTCTTCCTCCTTCCTTTTATGACCAACTGAAACACTGGTAGAAAGAAAATGTGGAATAAACCCTAAGAGTCCCACTTAGAAGAGCAGCTGTGATACAGCTGAGCTCTGCCTTACTGAAACAGCTGCTGTATTCACCATGGGCAAGTAGGAATGACAAGTTGTTAGTCATAAGCAATGCCATCTTGAGATGGATAGTACACTTGTTGGCATGGCTAAGCTAAAGCTGCTCCGAAACAAAGCAAAATCCTCTGGCATGACATAAGAGGTGGAAGAACTCACGCATTGTAAGTTTAAATGTGGCTTGATTTCTTCTCGCTTAAGAGAATCTCTGTTAGCAGTTGGTTGGTTGGTTTATTTATTTATTTAAACAGGGTCTTGCACTGTTGTCCAGACTGAAGTGCAGTGGCGAGATCATAGCTCACTGCAGCCTTGACCTCCTGGGCTCAAGTGATTCTCCCACCTCAGCCTCCTGAGCAGTTTCAAAAATATATAGGAAGTACTTTCAAGGCTCTGACTTCATGCAGTACTAGAGAGAATAAATACATGGGACACTGACAACATAAAAGCAAAATTGGAGTCTCCATAACTATGAATTTCAAAAGTTTGTCTAGTTGATAATAAAGTGAAAACATAAAGTTGCCTAAAGGTTGGTAGCTTTTTATATTAACTACTTAATTCCTGTAGGATAAAATGGACCAGTTGCTACAGATGCTGCAAAGTACAGACCCCAGTGATGATCAGCCAGACCTACCAGAGCTGCTTCATCTTGAAGGTAAAACTTTTCTATTTACCTTGCAAATAAAGAGTAGTTAGAGGTTAATAACTGGTGTCCTGTTAAAGAATGGGTTTTGAGGATAATATTAAAAATGGAACATTTCTCACTTCTCCTTGACCCAGGCTCACTCTCATATGCAGTTGAAACCTTGGGTAGAATTTGAATTCTTATAATTTTCTATCCAAACGAAGTGTTCTGTTCAACATTTTAGAACCTGGTAAAATGAAAAATGGCACTTTAAGATTTTCAGATTAATATTTTAGATTAAGTTGTCACCATTATACTTTAAGAAAATCAATTTTGGGTTCTGTAGACTAAGGTTAAAGAATGTATATTTTTATTACTCCAAATTAAATCTTTTATTCCTTAAATTATACAAATATCTATCAAAGGTTCACATTTTTTTTTCTTGTACTTTCTTATATTTCTTCACATCTTGTCATTTTAGCAATGTGTCACCAGATGGGACCTCTCATTGATGAAAAGCTGGAAGATATTGATAGGTAAAAGAACATGGGTGCATTTATGTTGTGTACCTTCTTTCCTGAAGCTATCACTGTACTGCAAAGTGGGCTATAACTGCCTTTTAAAAAAAAAATATTGTGGAGGAACCAACTCTCATTCACATATCTTGTGCTAGATGTGGAGAATTAGACTCATTTGTCCTTTTTTTTAAAGTGAGGATTTGATCGACCTTTGCAATATAGTCAAAAGGACCAGCGTAGATAGGTCGTTTTAAAAACAAGGGCTAGCTATGTAATTCTCTTTGCTGAAGTGGCATTACCAGAGCTCACAAATGACCCATATGTTAGTAACTAGGGAAACCAAGATATTTCTGGTACAGTCAGGTACGATAAGACGGAGTTCCCTTAGCACAGCACGTAAACCTTAAACAGTTTGGGTTGCTTCAGGGCTAAAATGCAGGATATTTTTGTTATAAGTGAAATTTTTAATAATGTCTACTAGTACTACTTTTTGCCATTTTTGATATTTTGATGTATCATTATTTAGAGCATTATATCATTTTAGTAACAGCTATGCTTCAAATTATTGTGTCATGTTTCAGAAAACATTCAGAACTCTCAGAACTTAATGTGAAAGTGATGGAGGCCCTTTCCTTATATACCAAGTTAATGAACGAAGATCCGATGTATTCCATGTATGCAAAGTTACAGAATCAGCCATATTATATGCAGTCATCTGGTGTTTCTGGTTCTCAGGTAAGCTTTTAGAAGCCCATGTTGTTTTAAATTCTCAAATGCACAGTGAGGTGTGGTAGCTCATGCCTGTAATCTCAGCAATTTGGGAGGCCAAGGCAAGAGGATTGCTTGAGACCAGGAGTTTAAGACCAGCCTGGGTAACATAGTGAGACTCTGTCTCTACCAAAAAAAAAAAAAAAAATTAGCCAGGCTGGGGCATGTTCCTTGGTCCCTGCTCTCGAAAAGCTGAGGTGGGAGGATAGCTTGAGCCCAGAAGGTCGAGGCTGCAGTGAGCCGTGTTCACACCACTGCAGTCTAGCCTGGGCAACAGCGACACCCTGTCTCTAAAATAAATAAATAAATAAATAAATTCTCAAATGCATTTGAGATTATTTGGAATAGCTGTTTGAAACTTTCTAAAACTAATGTTTAAAATTAAAATAAAGTTTAACGGAATTTTTTTACTTGGCAGTTACAGCATATAATATACTAATTATGCTAATAGTTTTTTGTTGTTGTTGTTGTTTAAAGGAAATAGCTTTTATACAGGGTTATGCAGCAGAATCAGCCATCACACTTTTGAAAAAAATTACAGATATATCCATCCCACTCCAGACCTATTGAATCAGAATCCTCAGGGTTGAGGCCCTTTTTTTTTTTTTTTTTTTTTTTTTTTGAGGCGGAGTCTCACTCCGTGGCCCAGGCTGGAGTGCAGTGCTGCAATCTCAGCTCACTGCAAGCTCCGCCTTCCGGGTTCTCGCCATTCTCCTGCCTCAGCCTCCTGAGTAGCTGGGACTACAGGCGCCCGTCACCACGCCAGGCTAATTTTTTTGTATTTTTAGTAGAGACGGGGTTTCGCCGTGTTAGCCAGGTTGGCCTTGATCTCCTGACCTCGTGATCCACCCGCCTCGGCCTCCCAAAGTGCTGGGATTCCAGGTGTGAGCCATCGCGCCCGGCCGAGGCCCATATTTTTAAAGCTTCGTATGTAATTATTTACTTAAGAACCTTAGTTCTTCATCAGGTTGTGTACACTCAATATGTATAGCCTTTTGCAGGTCAGACATATCTCAATAAAGTAGTTTCGTAAAAAACACAAAATGCTTTTAGAGCTAAGAAAACTCTCTTAAATATCTAATGAACTTCTAGTTATCCTTAAAAGGAAAACTTAAATGCAGTGAAAAAAAAATGAGGTAAAAACCTGTTTTTATTATTACAAACCAACAAAATATATTTCCATAATTTAAAAACTGCTTTAATCTGGAATTTTCCCTGCTTTACATGAGAATGCATGCAATGCAGTGTAGAGCCGTTTGCTTTCTTTTCACCCCAAGCAACTATTTCAAGGACCCCCTTTTCACAAACTCATCACGGTGAGGTGAGGTTATAGGGAATAACTAGCCAGATACTGGCCGGGTGCGGTGGCTCATACCTGTAATCCCAGCACGTTGGGAGGCCGAGGCGGGTGGATCACGAGGTCAGGAGATGGAGACCATCCTGGCTAACATGGTGAAACCCTGTCTCTGCTCAAAATACAAAAAATTTAGCCTGGCGTGGTGGTGGGTGCCTATAGTCCCAGCTACTTGGGAGGCTGAGGCAGGAGAATGGCATGAACCCGGGAGGCGGAGGTTGCAGTGAGCCGAGATCGTGCCATTGCACTCCAGCCTGGGCGACAGAGCAAGACTCCACCTCAAAAAATAATAATAATAATAATAATAAATAAAAACAAAACTAGCCAGATACTCCATTTTTTCCATGTAAAGTGGGCACGGACTGTGTTCAGATTAACGTTTAGCAGAATGAGGGGCCAGCACCCTGTAGATGAACAGCTAGGCCCAAGAAACTTGGGGCTAGAGGGCACCTGCTTTAGAGTCTTGATCACCAGTTTGAGACAAGGAAGCAAAAAACCTTCATGTTCAATTTTCGAAGAATGACAAAATAAAGTTAGGAGGACTGGTATAGCTGTGTTTATAATGAAGACCCTTTGGATCCCTGTGTGGGTCTGTCGTTTAACAGAAGTGCTAAATGGAAGGATCTAATGAATACTGCAGAAAATTAGGACATTATGTGTTTTAGACTTTGGGTAGTTAAGACTTCAATCTCTTTAGATTAAAAAAATGCATTTTGAAATACAGAAGTAGACAAATCCAGCCTGTTGCCTGTTTTTTTTTTTTTTAATAAACTTTTTTTTGAGACGGAGTCTTGCTTTGTCGCCCAGGCTGGAGTGCAGTGGCGCGATCTCAGCTCGCTGCCAGCTCCGCCTCCTGGGTTCAGGCCATTCTCCTGCCTCAGCCTCCCGAGTAGCTGGGACTGCAGGCGCCCGCCACCACGCCTGGCTAATTTTTTGTATTTTTAGTAGAGACGGGGTTTCACTGTGTTAGCCAGGATGGTCTCGATCTCCTGACCTCGTGATCTGCCTGCCTCGGCCTCCCAAAGTGCTGGGATTACAGGCATGAGCCACCATGCCTGGCGGCTTTAAATAAACTTTTATCAGAACACAGCCACTCTGATTTACTGACAGAGCCGAGTAGTTGTGTCAGAGACTACATGGTCCACAAAACTTAAAATATTTACGTCAGGCCCTTTACAAAAAAGTTTGCTGACCCCTGCTTTAGAAAGTTAGCTTGCTCTATTGTTCAATAAACTGCAGTTTAGGAAATGTGACTTGTATCCATTGCAGTCTATGGCTACAAAACAATGAGTTCAAATACACTTTCTAAATATCCTTTGGGATTCCTTAAAAAATACCAACATGCAGAATATTAAAATATATTTAATGTAAAGGGAGATTAGTATAAAGTTTCAGGATAAGTTTCTTTAATGCTTCAGTATGGAGATAACATGAGTTTAGCATATGTTTAACTAAAAATGAAAACCATCAACAGCCTATTTCATTGAAAAGCGTTTTTCAAAATGCCCGTTGACAGAAATAACTTTGAAAAAAGGATTCCAGAGTGGTGATTTTTCTTGTTTTTGTAACTGAATACCTCTACAGAGAAAGTTCAGTATGCTTATTAAAATTTTAGAATTGAATATGATTTCTCTTTAACCATCGCAGGTGTATGCAGGGCCTCCTCCAAGTGGTGCCTACCTGGTTGCAGGGAACGCGCAGATGAGCCACCTCCAGAGCTACAGTCTTCCCCCGGAGCAGCTGTCTTCTCTCAGCCAGGCAGTGGTCCCACCATCCGCAAACCCAGCCCTTCCTAGTCAGCAGACTCAGGCCGCTTACCCAAAGTAATTTTACTGTTGATTCTTGTTTGGAGTTAGTGCTGTTACAGCTGTTTAAGTGCCCCCAGTTATCTATAACTATAAAATCTGGCTAATAAATATCTGTGGTCAGCGTCATGCGGCCGCCCCATTTGTGCTAATGAGTGGTGGAGCCTCTGTGGTATTCCAGTACCAGCCAGCAAGCTGGTCCTCTGCTCCCGACTCGCTCAACTCATGTAATCTGGTTTCAGCCTTATATTTTTAATACTACTCTAACCATAAGTTTTTATTGTTGTTTTTATTTGCATCTATGATATTTGATAATGTCTTTAATGAAATTTATGTTTAGTGACTATAATTTGTCATTTTTCCACACATTTTGTATAAAATCTAAATTCCGTTATTTTAAAATATATAGTTCTGAGCTGTCTCTTTAAGACAAATATTTTCTTATTTTTGCCCTGTTTTGGAATTTAGTTTATATTATATCAAGGTACCCCATTTGAAACAAGAAGATAATAAGAAGGTAAGCACCCTTGTTTCTCAGGAGGCAGATGGCTGAATATGTGATGACAGAGGCCCATTTACTTTGCCATTTACTTACAGTGCTGTCTGTCATGTAGTTAAATGATTATTGTGTGTTTTTTCTGCTTTAATGGGACTCTGAGCTGAAATCTTTTCCTTGAAGCAAATAAAGGATAGGCTTTTAAGAGTTTACCAACGTGTATTCTAGAAGTTACGACATTCTAGCTGGCAACAGAAGTTTCTAGGTAGCACAGGCACAACTTCTAGAAACCTTTCCAGCAGTGTTAGGATTGCCCAGGAATGCTCCTGCACTGCCCTCTCTTGCACTACTCATCCTCAAAGAGTTACGTGTTAGAGATGCTTGGGGATTTTCAAGCATTATTCGGTTGTCAGATCTAGTATCCCGAAGTGACCTTAAGGGGGATGATGGCAAGGCCCACATGTCAGAAAACAGGGCATTCCCTAGTGGGTTCTGTATCTTAGAAAAAAGTGTTAAGTGTAGCTTGCACTCTTGCAGGATTTTTTTTTAAGTTGAAATCTGGTGGAAATGAATACCCTTCTGGAAAATAAACAGCTGTTCTTAGAGTAGCATGTTGCTTTACAACTAGATACAAAGGGGCTAGAAGGTAGGAATTGTTGAGAAGACACTAGGGTTCCTGACTTAATAGGACCCTGCAGCTATTTTAGTATTAGCCGGAACTGCCACTTTTCCCCTGCTAGTCCTCTGTTTGACTATGTCACATGCTGCTCTACCTTCCTTGTTACTAGAGATTACTTGAGACTCATTCTTCAAGGTCGGGGCCTTGGGAAATTATCCTTGTGAATGAGATAACCTGTTGGTAGGTGCTTTAACAGTGAAGTTCTGTAGCGCTGTGGTACCCTGCTGCTGTTCTCTGTGTGTGACTCTGCTTCTGCATTCGGGATGTGAAATCCCTGGCATAGGCCCAACCCTACCCATAGAGTGTAGCTATTAATGTCACCTCTCAAGGAACACATGTTTATTTCAACAGGTGTCTTTTGAAGAACATTTTCTTGAAATATTTAGCCCTCTCGTCCTGGCTCATTCCTGCATATTCTTTAGTTGTTAGCTTAGCTGCATTTTTACTGGGACATCTTCCTTGCTTTTCCACCTCTCAGCACTGTTCCTCCTGTGTGCTGTCAGAGGACTGTGTGTGTACTTCCGTTTCCTGGCTGGTAGTTGCCTTTTTACTTGTTTGTATCCCCACTGAAGACAGTATCTTGAGAGCTGGCACTGTCTTTCACCTCTATAGCCATCCTATGTAGCACACAGTTTTACACTGGCTAGGAACTCAGTAAATATTTTATGAATACATGTTTTAGTGTTAATGACAATTTCAAGTGCTATATTAGACCAGTTAGGTGTATTTTTTAAAAATTCCTTGCAAAGGCTTCACAAAGGCTTAGAGGCCATTTAAATATCTATATATAAAGGTACAATATGTAATATCTGTTTATCAATATATAAAAACAGATGTGTGTTTGTGTGTTTCAACGGGGAAATGAGGAATTGCTGGTAGAGCAAATGTAGGATGAGGAAATTGGAAGGAGCGAGGGCCAGGGTTAGAAATTTCCTTACTAGAGGTGTCCTGCGTATTTGACTCGAGCTTTCTAGCGGCAAATCAAGGTCAGTGAGGATTGTTGTTGTTTTTGGTAGGCAGGTTTTTTAGCACTCCTCAGTTTATATATATCTGAGAGGCTATCTCTTGTTACATAAAATTTTGGTGTTAAAGCTCACTGTTTTTCAGACTTCTGTCATCCTAGGACAGTCTTATTGTTAGTTGGGGAAGGTGTCACTGATGACGGTTTTCTAAAGCTACCTGTAGCGATGGTAGTATTATAAGGTGATAATAAGTGACAATTACTGTTAGTATTTTGAGACCACTGAAGCTTATGTATTTATTTGTCTCTGATTTTAGTTTACTACAGTCAGCATGTGCCAGGCACTGTGTTAGACACCTGAGAGTCTTCTTTAGCTTCAAGGTGCTTACTGAGTAGTAGGGGCAAACACATAAAAAAATATAATTTTATACAACATGATTTATAAATAAAGAAGATATATGCCTTGTACCTTAGGAGCCTCAGGGTTTGAGGAAGTTTTCCAAGAGGGTTATTCTTAGCCAGTAGAAAAAAAGTGAGGAAGATGTTCTGTCACGTCAGAGATGTGGTAGCCTGGAATGGCATGGTACCCATGGAGTGAGCAAAGATGGGAGGTGTGAAAGGCGTGGTATGTATCGGCATTCCAGCAGCACACTTACCAAGGGTTGAAAGCGTGTAGGGGAGCAGCGAGAGACATACTTGAAGACACTGCCAAGGTCGAAGAATGCTTGTTCTAGATACCATCTTAGGGATAATGAAAAAGTTCAGAAAGGGCTTTAAATGGCAGTAGCGTAGATGGATTCATAGGGGCAAGATTAGAAGCTGGGAGACCATGGATATTAGGCAAGAAATTATGAGTATTTGTTGGCAAGATACAGTGCTATTAATTGGAAAGAGTTATTTAGGAGATTAGCAAATAATTACACATTGGGTGACATGGTTGGGAGACAGCTCAGTGCAGAGATAAGAGAAAGAAGTATTGGTGAATTGCATGGTTTTGCCCCAGGCAACTGGGTGGACGGTGGAACTGTAAATTGAGAATGATTACAATAATGCTAACATTTAAGGGGTATTTAGTATGTTCCAAGCACTGTGCTGTATGCTTTACACAAAGTAACTTATTCCTCATAATAACCTGTGAAGTCGGTAAACTATTACCCCCATTTTATAGATGGGGAAGCTGAGACCTGGAGACAAAACGGAAGTCCCACTTAGCTAAGATTCTAAACCAGACATTCTGACTCCAGAACCCAGCGCATAGACTCTATATTACGGCAATATTATAGCCCATACCATTGTCAATAATAGTATGAAATTTGACATCTCCTAATCAACTTTATATCTCACACATATGGAGTGATGACAAATAATGCCTTAGGTCACCACATTAGTTGGAGAAATGTAGCATTAAATTACCGTCTCTTATAATAAATTACCATCAAATAATGAATTTGTGCCAAGTACAAGAGCACTGAATTTCCCAACAATAGATTTATAAATAACAATTGGAGGAAAGTTTAGAAGTAGGCAGTATTTTGAAAATTTGGCAGTTGCTTTTTATATTGCTTGTTTTACATTTTTAATACAAATGTAGGGGGAATTCTCAGCATCTTAGTACTTCTCTTCACATAGCTAACCTAGTGTCTTACAGTGGAAACGCATGTATTCCGTTGGAAACAGGAAGACAGGAAGTAGAGGCAGTGGATAAAGACAACCCTTTGAAGAATTTTTTTCTTTCTTTTTTTAATGGGAGCAGTGCACAAGTGCAGGGACTTGAGATGGGAGTACTGGCAGCGGAGCGGTGGGAGCGGTAGGGAAGCTCAGTACGTGAGGGGTGCAGCTGCAGAGAGTTGATCAGTGTGGTGTTGGAGCGTGTGCTTCCGTATTTTCAAGGAAATAAAAGAAATGAGGTTATGAGGCCTTCCCTTCCACTAGTCCTTTGGGACCGTTCTTGTCAAGAACCCTGGTGATGCCCATACTGCTAGACTCCCGGTCAGTTCACCATTCTCCTCCTCCTCCATTTGACAGTTCGTGATTCCCTCCTCTTTTCTGAAATGCTTTCTTCACTTGCTGGTGACCATTCTCTTTTCCCTTCTGCCTCACCGCCACTTCTTCTCAGCCTCATTTGCCTCTTGCCTCTTTATCTTCTGGACTTCAAGGTCCAGTGCACAGTAGATGGACTGCCTTTTTCTCTGTTTGCAGCCGCTCCCCAGGGGACCTCATGAAGCCCGGTGATTCTGAATGCCGTGGATCTGCCGAGGATTCCCAGATGCGTATTTCTCCTCCGTACTTCCCCACAGGACAGCAGGCTTGAATAGCTGATTGCCTATGCAGGACAACAGGCTTGAATAGCTGACTGCCTATGCATTCTCTTTGCTTGCCAGTTTTTTGGACATCAAACTTGACAGATCCAAGATTATTACTTTGATCTTCCCCACACCCCTCCCACCCCCGAGTCTACTATGGTCCCATCATAGTATTCTGAAAATCAGTGAATGGCCACTCTACCAGTTATTTCTACCAGTTTTTAGGTTCTAAACCTCAGGCATTCTGGACTCTTCTGTTCATTATCATATTTTGAAGGCATTATCTTCAAAATCTATCTAGACTCTGACCCTTTCTCCCATCTCCACCATTACTGCCGTGGCTCTTCTGCTGGTCGGCTCTCTCCTGGTGGATCGTAATAACCTGCAGTCAGCTATCCTGGTCCAGAGGGAGCCCGTTAAACCCTGTGGAATCTTATCACGCTTCTGCTCAGAACGAGCCAGTGTCTTTCTGTCTCACTCAGAGTGTAAGCTACAGTCCTTATTGTGGCCATCAGGTGCTGTGTGTTCTCCAGCCCCCTCCCCACCACCGCAGTCCTGCCGGTGATCTTAGCTGCTCTCCCCTCGGCACCCCCTGCGGCCCCCTCTGCCGCAGCACTCGTGGCCTGCTGTTCCTTGAACATGCTTGGTGTTTTCTCTCCTCAAAGGCTTCTTTCTGTTTACCTGAAATGTACTTTCCTAGGGAATCTATCTGGCTCACTCGCTTACTTTTTCCACATCTTTGCTTAAGTATTGCCTTATTGGAGAGGCACCCTACCATAAACTAGAATCCCTTGCCCCAGCTGCTCTTTGTCCTCCGTATTGGGCTTTGTTTTTGTTCTTACCAGTTAGAACCACTTGACACACGATACATGTGTTTGTTACCCTTTTCTACCACTAGAACAGACGCTCCATGGTGGTATAGACTTATTTCCGCAAACCACCCCCCCCAACTTTTTTTACACAATGGTTAAATAACACACATATTTTTAATGCAATGCCTGATATCACAAAGCCTAAAATAACAATGTTTGGCACATTATAGCTGTTTAGTAAAAGGTTATTAAATGAATTGACTATATGAATGAATGCTTAGTAAATAGCTTTTCCATTTATCTGTAGTTGCTCTATAAATCAGTATTGATGTAATTGAGTGTTTTTCTTCCTCCACAGTACAATGGTCAGTTCCGTTCAAGGAAACACATATCCCAGCCAGGCGCCAGTATATAGTCCTCCTCCTGCCGCTACTGCTGCTGCTGCAACTGCCGATGTCACTCTGTACCAGAATGCAGGACCTAATATGCCCCAGGTGCCAAACTATAACTTAACATCATCAACTCTGCCTCAGCCCGGAGGCAGCCAACAGCCACCTCAGCCACAGCAACCATATTCTCAGAAGGCTCTGCTATAGGACCCGGTGTTCCTCTTGGTGGCAGATACCTGCTAAATGCCACTGACAATGTTATGAGATTCATTACTATCTTAAGATGTGTTTATCCTCAGCTTATAGGAATCTCTCCAGGTCAACAGGTTCAAATATTCAAGAAGGTAGAACTCTCCTCAATTTACACTGACTTTTTAGAGGTTCTTCCCCCCCCGCCCCTGCAGAGGAATGAAACTACTTACAACATTTAATTCCTTTCATAATATGAAAGAATTGATACAAGGCTATTTGTCTCGTAAACCTGGTCTGCAGAAAGTCAAACTTACAAAAACTGTTGTGACAAATGTTATGTACATATATTGATATGTAACTGCATTAGTGGCCATTTTGAATCACAGTGGTGATCGTGTGAATATATTTAACACTGTGTTAAATTAATTTACGTTGCTATTTTATTTTAATCATAAACAACTACCATGTTTCTTAATGTTTTGTGTAAATTTAAGGTAATTATACTATCCTTTTAAACTTCAAGAAAACAAAGTTGTTAGCGTATTTACATGAAGGCGCATTATGTTGTCGTGTGTTTCAGTTTCACATTAAACTGAACCTTTTACTAATTGTGAGCTAAAGAGATATATATATATATGTGTGTGTATATATATATATCTACATGTCTTTCTGTAGCCTCTGCATACTACTGGCTGTCATCACACCAGCGTACAGTAGCTAAATTTTTGGTGCAATTATAGCAAATGATAATGTTCCCTTTTGAACTTTTACATTTTGGCATGACATTTCAGAGTATTGTGGGACCATGAGACAAAATTAAGTACGATCACATTCTTTATTTCTCATTTTAAAGAAATGATGTTGGTTTACCTTTTCCTAGTTGAAGATAGTAATTAGGTTTCTAAGCTGTATACTGTGTTTATTGGTGGCAGTGACACCAAAGATAGAGGCAATGGATAGAAATTTTTAAACTGGAAAGAAAACCTGAATTACACTACATTTTCGAAGTCTCTTGTAATTATTTGGGATATCAACAAAATTTGATTCGTCTGTCTAATCCCTTGCTAGTATTTTAAATATGTCTTTAACACATTGTATCCTTTAATTCTTCATTAAAATGGAAATAAGTAGATGTTTCAAAGTAATCTACATTCCTGGCTTTGCTTAACGTTTATATAGGTATTGTTTTCTTTCACACTGGATTTTTGGGTTGCTCTTTCTGGCCTTTTAAAATTCTAATGGAATTATTTTGGCTTCTTACTTGGGAATATTTTCAAATGAATGCTTTTCTTTTAATTCATGCGAAAAATGTTTTCCACTGACATTGTAATCTTAAATATTTACGATTTCCCTGGTTGGGCTATACTATTATTTTAGCACTATTTAAACAACGGAAAAGTTGAGTCGAACATCATATTTAATGAATTGATGTAACAGGTTTCATACTATAAATGAAAATTTCATTTTTATTTTCTAAGACTGTTGTAATCAGGTAGCTTGTTTATTTTCTTTTTGAGAGAAGATTAAATCTTTAGCCAGTAATCTTAAGGGTGACTAATTTCACAGACTCAGATTTAAAGCACCGTAGTTTTAAATCTGAGCCTGTGAAATTAGTCACCTGTAAGATTACTTAAGGGTAACTTAAGTGTTTCGCTCAAGTGTTGTGTTCTGATTTCCTGTGTTTAAAATATGTTGCCCTGCCCTGAAGTCAAATTTCACATTTTAAATACTATAAGTTAGTTTTTGATAAATATCTGTCGGATTATAATCTTTTCCACTCCAATTTGAGTATTATGGTTTAACTGATATACTTTTCTGCAATTTTTCTTTGTCTTTTGATAAATTCCTGTTTACCAATGTTAAATGTATCATTTTCCCATTTTAATTTTGATATCTTTCATGCTGAAAATCAATGACATAGTCTCTACTATGATTTTTGCCCTATAAAAGTCAAGTAACAGTGAATAGAAAAAACTACCCTTATTACAACCCATATACATTTTTCTTTACCTTTTACATTACTAGCCTTATAAAGGTTTAAATGATGAGTACTTTAAAACTGTTACTGTGTTAGTTTATG
This sequence comes from Homo sapiens, assembly GCF_000001405.40. Classification (NCBI taxonomy): domain Eukaryota; kingdom Metazoa; phylum Chordata; class Mammalia; order Primates; family Hominidae; genus Homo; species Homo sapiens. The sequence continues at coordinate 17,716,846 of NC_000010.11, forward strand.
CCTTCCCATTATTAAAAATGAAAATACCAGGGGGAAAAAATCCAATGAAAGTGAAGCACTGGCTTGTCTTTCAAATGACAAGACGAGGGTAGAAATAGGAGGGGGCCAGTTAGGATCATGAATGACTTTAAGTTCTGAAACCTGCAGGTCTTGCACTTTCAAGAAATCTTTCATTAATAGCTGTCCTTATTTTGAAGGAATAGAATAATTTATAAAATGAACTAGCTGTAACATAGGCTGGACGCAGTGGGTCACACCTGTAATCCCAGCACTTTGGGAGGCCGTGGCGGGCGGATCATTTGAGGTCAGGAGTTCGAGACCAGTCTGACCAACATGGTGAAACCCCGTCTTTACAAAACTACAAAAATTAGCTGGGCGTGGTGGCAGGCACCTGGTAATCCCAGCTACTCAGGAGGCTGAGGCGAGAGAATTGCTTGAACCTGGGAGACGGAGGTTGCAGTGAGACGAGATCACGCCACTGCATTCCAGCCTGGGAGACAGAGTGAGAAATAAATAACTGTAATGTAAACTGCTGTGAAGCAAATTCTATTTCTCTTTTTTTAAAAAATAAAATTTGAGATTGGTTTTCCGTAAAATAGTGACACGTAAATGGAAAAAATCTAATCCAGTTACGAACTAGCATATATAGCCAACAGGCCCATGGCCTGTGATGTTATACCAGTGCCCTGAACCTGTAAGAGGATTTCTAATGCATACCTAATGTGACTTTACAGCCTCTTCTAACTCCGTCTTTCTCCTTCACTGTTACCTATCTTCCCTATGCAGCGAGGGAACTTTTTATGTGCCTAAGATTCCTTTTTTCATGTACTTCTGGTGCTTTGTTTCTATACCTCATAGTTTTTGTATTTAAAATGCTTAATAGACCAGTGTCTTTTTTCTCTGATACATACAGCTTTCCTATGCGATATGTATAATTCAGTTTGAAGACATGTTTTTTCCGAAGCTTCAAGTTGATGTGAGACAAATTAGCACCCTACACGATAAACTATGCAACTATAAAAATTATGGAAATTGCCCATGCCTGTGTCCTGAATGGTAATGCCTAGGTTTTCTTCTAAGGTTCTTATGGTTTTAGGTCTAACGTTTAAGTCTTTAATCCATCTTGAATTAATTTTTGTATAAGGTATAAGGAAGGGATCCAGTTTCAGCTTTCTACATATGGCTAGCCAGTTTTCCCGGCACCATTTATTAAATAGGGAATCCTTTCCCCATTGCTTGTTTTTCTCAGGTTTGTCAAAGATCAGATAGTTGTAGATATGCGACATTATTTCTGGGGGCTCTGTTCTGTTCCATTGATCTGTATCTCTGTTTTGGTACCAGTACCATGCTGCTTTGGTTACTGTAGCCTTGTAGTATAGTTTGAAGTCAGGTAGCGTGATGCCTCCAGCTTTGTTCTTTTGGCTTAGTATTGACTTGGCGATGCGGGCTCTTTTTTGGTTCCATATAAACTTTAAAGTAGTTTTTTCCAATTCTGTGAAGAAAGTCATTGGTAGCTTGATGGGGATGGCATTGAATCTATAAATTACCTTGGGCAGTATGGCCATTTTCACGATATTGATTCTTCCTACCCATGAGCTTGGAATGTTCTTCCATTTCTTTGTATCCTCTTTTATTTCCTTGAGCAGTGGTTTGTAGTTCTCCTTGAAGAGGTCCTTCACATCCCTTGTAAGTTGGATTCCTAGGTATTTTATTCTCTTTGAAGCAATTGTGAATGGGAGTTCACTCATGATTTGGCTCTCCGTTTGTCTGTTATTGGTGTATAAGAATGCTTGTAATTTTTGTACACTGATTTTGTATCCTGAGACTTTGCTGAAGTTGCTTATCAGCTTAAGGAGATTTTGGGCTGAGACAATGGGGTTTTCTAGATATACAATCATGCCATCTGCAAACAGGGACAATTTGACTTCTTCTTTTCCTAATTGAATACCCTTTATTTCCTTCTCCTGCCTAATTGCTCTGGCCAGAACTTCCAACACTATGTTGAATAGGAGTGATGAGAGAGGGCATCCCTGTCTTGTGCCTGTTTTCAAAGGGAATGCTTCCAGTTTTTGCCCATTCAGTATGATATTAGCTGTGGGTTTGTCATAGATAGCTCTTATTATTTTGAGATACTTCCCATCGATACCTAATTTATTGAGAGTTTTTAGCATGAAGGGTTGTTGAATTTTGTCAAAGGCCTTTTCTGCATCTATTGAGATAATCATGTGGTTTTTGTCTTTGGTTCTGTTTATATGCTGGATTACATTTATTGATTTGCATATATTGAACCAGCCTTGCATCCCAGGGATGAAGCCCACTTGATCATGGTGGATAAGCTTTTTGATGTGCTGCCGGATTCGGTTTGCCAGTATTTTATTGAGGATTTTTGCATTAATGTTCATCAAGGATATTGGTCTAAAATTCTCTTTTTTTGGTTGTGTCTCTGCCAGTCTTTGGTATCAGGATGATGCTGGCCTCATAAAATGAGTTAGGGAGGATTTCCTCTTTTTCTATTGATTGGAGTAGTTTCAGAAGGAATGGTACCAGTTTCTCCTTGTACCTCGGGTAGAATTCGGCTGTGAATCCATCTGGTCCTGGACTCTTTTTGGTTGGTAAGCTATTGATTATTGCCAGAATTTCAGAGCCTGTTACTGGTTTATTCAGAGATTCAACTTCTTCCTGGTTTAGTCTTGGGAGGGTGTATGTGTTGAGGAATTTATCCATTTCTTCTAGATTTTCTAGTTTATTTGCGTAGAGGTGTTTGTAGTATTCTCTGATGGTAGTTTGTATTTCTGTGGGATTGGTGGTGATATCCCCTTTATCATTTTTTATTGCATCTATTTGATTCTTCTCTCTTTCCTTCTTTATTAGTCTTGCTAGTGGTCTATCAATTTGGTTGATCCATTCAAAAAACCAGCTCCTAGATTCATTAATTTTTTGAAGGGTTTTTTGTGTCTCTATTTCCTTGAGTTCTCCTCTGATTTTAGTTATTTCTTGCCTTCTGCTAGCTTTTGAATGTGTTTGCTCTTGCTTTTCTAGTTCTTTTAATTGTGATGTTAGGGTGTCAATTTTGGATCTTTCCTGCTTTCTCTTGTGGGCTTTTAGTGCTATCAATTTCCCTCTACACACTGGTTTGAATGTGTCCCAGAGATTCTGGTACGTTGTGTCTTTGTTCTCGTTGGTTCCAAAGAACATCTTTATTTCTGCCTTCATTTCGTTATGTACCCAGTAGTCATTCAGGAGCAGGTTGTTCAGTTTCTATGTAGTTGAGCGGTTTTGAGTGAGTTTCTTAATCCTGAGTTCTAGTTTGATTGCACCGTGGTCTGAGAGACAGTTTGTTATAATTTCTGTTCTTTTACATTTGGCGAGGAGAGCTTTACTTCCAAGTATGTGGTCAATTTTGGAATAGGTTTGGTGTGGTGCTGAAAAAAATGTATATTCTGTTGATTTGGGGTGGAGGGTTCTGTAGATGTCTATTAGGTCCGCTTGGTGCAGAGCTGAGTTCAATTCCTGGTTATCCTTGTTAACTTTCTGTCTCGTTGATCTGTCTAATGTTGACAGTGGGGTGTTAAAGTCTCCCATTATTAATGTGTGGGAGTCTAAGTCTCTTTGTAGGTCACTCAGGACTTGCTTTATGAATCTGGGTGCTCCTGTATTGGGTGCATATATATTTAGGATAGTTAGCTCTTCTTGTTGAATTGATCCCTTTACCATTATGTAATGGCCTTCTTTGTCTCTTTTGATCTTTGTTGGTTGAAAGTCTGTTTTATCAGAGACTAGGATTGCAACCCCTGCCTTTTTTTGTTTTCCATTTGCTTGGTAGATCTTCCTCCATCCTTTTATTTTGAGCCTATGTGTGTCTCTGCACGTGAGATGGGTTTCCTGAATACAGCACACTGATGGGTCTTGACTCTTTATCCAATTTGCCAGTCTGTGTCTTTTAATTGGAGCATTTAGTCCATGTACATTTAAAGTTAATATTGTTATGTGTGAATTTGATCATGTCATTATGATGTTAGCTGGTTATTTTGCTCGTTAGTTGATGCAGTTTCTTCCTAGCCTCGATGGTCTTTACATTTTGGCATGATTTTGCAGCGGCTGGTACCGGTTTTTCCTTTCCATGTTTAGCGCTTCCTTCAGGAGCTCTTTTAGGGCAGGCCTGGTGGTGACAAAATCTCCCAGCATTTGCTTGTCTGTACAGTATTTTATTTCTCCTTCACTTATGAAGCTTAGTTTGGCTGGATATGAAATTCTGGGTTGAAAATTCTTTTCTTTAAGAATGTTGAATATTGGCCCCCACTCTCTTCTGGCTTGTAGAGTTTCTGCTGAGAGAGCTGCTGTTAGTCTGATGGGCTTCCCCTTTGTGGGTAACCCGACCTTTGTCTCTGGCTGCCCTTAACGTTTTTTCCTTCATTTCAACTCTGGTGAATCTGACAATTATGTGTCTTGGAGTTGCTCTTCTCGAGGAGTATCTTTGTGGCATTCTCTGTATTTCCTGAATCTGAATGTTGGCCTGCCTTGCTAGATTGGGGAAGTTCTCCTGGATAATATCCTGCAGAGTGTTTTCCAACTTGGTTCCATTCTCCCCGTCACTTTCAGGTACACCAATCAGACGTAGATTTGGTCTTTTCACATAGTCCCATATTTCTTGGAGGCTTTGTTCATTTCTTTTTATTCTTTTTTCTCTAAACTTCCCTTCTCGCTTCATTTCATTCATTTCATCTTCCATCACTGATACCCTTTCTTCCAGTTGATCGCATCGGCTCCTGAGGCTTCTGCATTCTTCACGTAGTTCTCGAGCCTTGGCTTTCAGCTCCATCAGCTCCTTTAAGCACTCCTCTGTATTGGTTATTCTAGTTATACATTCATCTGAATTTTTTTCATAGTTTTTAACTTCTTTGCCTTTGGTTTGAATTTCCTCCTGTAGCTCGGAGTAGTTTGATCGTCTGAAGCCTTCTTCTCTCACCTCGTCAAAGTCATTCTCTATCCAGCTTTGTTCCGTTGCTGGTGAGGAACTGCGTTCCTTTGGAGGAGGAGAGGTGCTCTGCTTTTTAGAGTTTCCAGTTTTTCTGCTCTGTTTTTTCGCCATCTTTGTGGTTTTATCTACTTTTGGTCTTTGATGATGGTGATGTACAGATGGGTTTTTGGTGTGGATGTCCTTTCTGTTTGTTAGTTTTCCTTCTAACAGAGAGGACCCTCAGCGCAGGTCTGTTGGAGTTTGCTAGAGGTCCACTCCAGACCCTGTTTCCCTGTGTATCAGCAGCGGTGGCTGCAGAAGAGCAGATTTTCATGAACCGCGAATGCTGCTGTCTGATCGTTCCTCTGGAAGTTTTGTCTCAGAGGAGTACCCGGCCGTGTGAGTTGTCAGTCTGCCCCTACTGGGGGGGTGCCTCCCAGTTAGGCTGCTCGGGGGTCAGGGGTCAGGGGTCAGGGACCCACTTGAGGAGGCAGTCTGCCTGTTCTCAGATCTCCAGCTGCGTGCTGGGAGAACCACTGCTCTCTTCAAAGCTGTCAGACAGGGACATTTAAGTCTGCAGAGGTTACTGCTGTCTTTTTGTTTGTCTGTGCCCTGCCCCCAGAGGTGGAGCCTACGGAGGCAGGCAGGCCTCTTTGAGCTGTGGTGGTCTCCACCCGGTTCGAGTTTCCCGCCTGCTTTGTTTACCTAAGCAAGCCCGGGCAATGGCAGGCGCCCCTCCCCCAGCCTTGCTGCTGCCTTGCAGTTTGATCTCAGACTGCTGTGCTAGCAGTCAACGAGACTCTGTGGGTGTTGGACCCTCTGAGCCACGTGCGGGATATAATCTCCTGGTGTGCCGTTTTTTAAGCCCGTCAGGAAAGCGCAGTATTAGGGTGGGAGTGACCCGATTTTCCAGGTGCCGTCTGTCACCCCTTTCTTTGACTAGGAAAGGGAACTCCCTGACCCCTTGCACTTCCTGAGTGAGGCAATGCCTCGCCCTGCTTCAGCTCGCGCTCGGTGCGCTGCACCCACTGTCCTGCGCCCACTGTCTGGCACTCCCTAGTGAGATGAACCCAGTACCTCAGATGGAAATGCAGAAATCACCCATCTTCTGCGTCGCTCACGCTGGGAGCTGTAGACCAGAGCTGTTCGTATTTGGCCATCTTGGCTGCCTCTCCAGCCAAAAGCAATGGCAACAAAAGCCAAAATTGACAAATGGGATCTAATTCAACTAAAGAGCTTCTGCACAGCAAAAGAAACTACCATCAGAGTGACCAGGCAACCTACAAAATGGGAGAAAATTTTCACAACCTACACATCTGACAAAGGGCAAATATCCAGAATCTACAATGAACTCAAACAAATTTATGAGAAAAAAACAAAGAACCCCATCAAAAAGTGGGCAAAGGACTTGAACAGACACTTCTCAAAAGAAGACATTTATGCAGCCAAAAAACACATGAAAAAATGCTCACCGTCAGTGGCCATCAGAGAAATGCAAATCAAAACCACAATGAGATACCATCTCACACCAGTTAGAATGGCAATCATTAAAAAGTCAGGAAACAACAGCTGCTGGAGAGGATGTGGAGAAATAGGAACACTTTTACACCGTTGGTGGGACTGTAAACTAGTTCAACCATTGTGGAAGTCAGTGTGGCGAGTCCTCAGGGATGTAGAACTAGAAATACCATTTGATCCAGCCATCCCATTACTGGGTATATACCCAAAGGACTATAAATCATGCTGCTATAAAGACACATGCACACGTATGTTTATTGCGGCACTATTCACAATAGCAAAGACTTGGAACCAACCCAAATGTCCAACAATGATAGACTGGATTAAGAAAATGTGGCACATATCCACCATGGAATACTATGCAGCCATAAAAAATGATGAGTTCATGTCCTTTGTAGGGACATGGATGAAATTGGAAATCATCATTCTCAGTAAACTATCGCAAGAACAAAAAACCAAACACTGCATATTCTCACTCATAGGTGGGAATTGAACAATGAGAACACATGGACACAGGAAGGGGAACATCACACTCTGGGGACTGTTGTGGGGTGGGGAGAGGGGGGAGGGATAGCATTAGGAGATATACCTAATGCTAAATGACGAGTTAATGGGTGCAGCACACCAGCATGGCACATGTATACATATGTAACTAACCTGCACATTGTGCAGAAGTACCCTAAAACTTAAAGTATAAAAAAATTATGGAAATTATTTTCCAAAATGAAATTTATTGGTATAATTGCTCAAATTTTCATCTGTTTAATATACAGTGAAGTCATCATTTTCTTTTCTCATCTATTTTCTTGGTTTACTTTCCAGTTCTAATAATTATAGCTTGCCTTCTGTTACATCATTTTAAAAATATTTAATAACAAAGCTATGGTTTATAAAGTTTTCACTTGTATCGTTTTCCTTTTTATTTCTTTTTTTGGATTAACTACTTGTACGCCTTAGAATAAAATATATAGAAGAAACTTACCTAAATATTTCTCAAAGGCCTTATGTTCAATTATCTTTTATTTTAGCATCATGATTCCATTAAGTGTTCTTATCAATTACCTAGGTTGTTTTCTGTATTCTTTATATTGACATGCCCACCACACGCCCACGTTTTTAAGCAAAGCTGCCTTCATTGTATTATCTGTATTCTTCCTTAGAATGGTCTTCTTTCGAAATTACTTAGTACTTGATAGTATCTTTTTCTGAAAATTTCCAGGCTTCAAAAATGCTCTTCCCTATGATGTTCTAGAACACTTTAAATCTCAGTATTTCAGTATTTAAAACTCTAGATTTCCTTGATGAACAAAATTGAACATTTTATTGGTGCTAACTTGTGGCCAAACTACACTTTGCCAGTTCTCTGATTCCCTGGCATCTGCTAACACTTACCACTGTCATTACTGTCTTTTTGCTGCTGCTGTTACACCTAGAATTTCTGATAATAAATTATTAAGAGTCAGTAAACCCCTGGATAAAAGCAAAAGGGACTGATTTTAATGGTCTTTTGGTGGTCAGAGACTTAGCAAAAGTCATGTCTGTTTTATAGAAGAGTAGTATCCAAATTTTTTGATTAGATACCCTGATGAGTAACAAATTTTTTGAGTGTGTAGCCTTAAAAATATGTATATATATTTATTCACAAATTTTACAAGTTCTACTATATAAAAGCATATTGTACATTATGAAACACACCAAAAAATAGAAATCTTAAAAGGGTGAGATAAAAAGTTATTAATAGAAATTTAAGTATTTTCTTTCTATATCTTAGTGGTTTGTTTTCTCTGTGCCCTAGGATGTATGAACCTGATTTGGAGACCACTTTGTTGAGAGGCTAAGATTAAACAGGCAGGGGATGTAGAATGTTACTAAGTTGGTCCCTTGAAGTAAGTATCTGTTACTTTAAGTGGTACTTTCTCAAAAAATTGTTGGGAAATTTTCATACTTACAGAAAGATTGGAAGAGTGATAACACTGAACATCTAATTACTATTCATCTAGATTTGCTAATCATTAAAAATTTGCCACGTTTGTTTTATCTCGTGTATGTTTATATATGCACGTGTGTGTGTGTATACATATATATATATAGGAGTGTTCTTATGTATATACACACATACTTTATTGTGTGAACTGACACATTATAAACATTGTAAACCATATTTCTAAGTTCTTCATCTTACGTCTTGTAAGGATTTGGACAGTTTCCCACATAACCTAAACCATTTTCACATCTAAGAAAATTAACAGTAATTCTGTAATATATTGTTATTGAATGTCCCTCAAACTGTCTTTTATAGATATGTATATATTTTAAATCCAGGATCCATTCCAGGAATATATACCCACACTTCTAATGTCCTTTGATTCTCTACTAATCTGGGTTAATCTTGTCATCTCCCCCTGATGCTCCACGACATTGACTTTTTAAACACCCCTGCCAGTTGTATCGTAGAATTTCTTACGTTCTGGATTTCTGACTTGATGCTCTATTCTCTTTGCCTCTACTGTAGTACTTATTCCTAAAAGAATTACGTCAGAACCAGATGAGTTCTGGTTAGAGGTAATCAGATTAGATTTTTCAGGCTTGCATCGGAAGCTGCACACATAAAGGAACGTTGTTAACCCTAACATGTAGCTGCTCTGTGATAGCCTGTATCCTCAAGCCATTGATGCTGCCGTAGCTCAGTACACTTTTATGTTCTTCATCTTGAATTGCATTCAGAGAAGCTGCAGAAAATTTGTGCCCTTTCCCCATTCAAACCCTACTCAGCTTTTCTCCATTTGTTCAATACCCACCTTATTCACTCTGGATGGCTTTTAGGTAACTCTAGAAATGTAACCAGCAAATAGAGTTCTATGTTTTTAGATGCAAACATTTTGGCACGTTTGTTTTGAAAGACTTCTCATGACCCTAGTCATAACCTTCTGTTAAAATAGGGAAATCACTGAAGGGGAGGGAAAGCCCTTTCTTTTTAAAAGTTATCATTGTTACTTATTTTCCTCAAGTTGGTAACTAAATTGGAAGCAGACTGAATAAAATATATAAACACAGTCAATTTTGAAACACATGCACATTACAGTAACATATGCCGTCAGCTTATTAAAGAACTAGTTTGGGACTTGTTTCAGTTGGTTAATGGCATTTAAAAAGTAGAATAAATGTTTGTAATCAGTTGTTTCTATGGCAGGATACATCAAGTTTCTTAACTGCAGGGTGATCACATTATCTTGTTACTTTAGAAAAAGATATGCTGTATAAACAGTTAAGAATGTTTTCGGTTAATTATAGGTGATATTGTCTGTTAGCCAGGTAAGATGCAAAATAGGAAAATTTACGTGAGACATCCATGTATGGTTATTTTTCTCTGAACCAAAAATGGAAAAAAAATCTGTTTACTGTTTCAGAATTTGTTTCTATTTCTCCAGAGAAAAGAAGGGTTTGATATAAGTATCTTTGATATTCTGTAATTTAAAAACATAATACCCTGTAAAGGAGTGGCTGAAAATGACTGAAGAAGTTGTAATCAGGAATACAGGTAAATTCACTTAGAGGAACCATTATAACAAGTTCATTTCTATAAAAGGTGGATGGCTCATGAAAAAATGGTTTCATTAATTTGTATTGTAAATGTATCATACTTTTGTGAGTACGTGGATTTCTTTTAAAGAAAGGGGTGGATAGTGGTGATGGTATTTGGGGTTGAAGATAAGAATAAGAACTAAATTAAGTTGTAGGAATTTACTTGTCCATTCTGCTATTAAGTGGAAATTTCAGCTCATGGCTGTAGGAATTCAGAGAACTAGACTTTAATCCAGGTATATCTTTTGTCAAAAGAATATCTTGGTAGATATGTGATTTGGGGCAGCTCCATGTATCTTTCTGGGTCGTCTACTTATTTATGCATTGTAAGGCTAATGTAACATGATCTTTTGTAGCTTGTATAAATTTTCTGTTTCATATCATCTACCTCTGCCTACCTTAACTATCCCTGCCATTCAGCCTGAATAGTTCACCTATGTCACTGAATGGACCTGGGTACCATGGTACTGAAACTTGGGTGCATGATTTCTAGCATGTAGTTATAGCAGTGTACTTTCTGAACGTAACCTGGGGGTACTTTATCTCCATTCGTATCTGGTGAGCCTTTTGTTCTGAGTGATTTTATCAGGAACATCTGCATTCCAAGTAGAAGCGCTTCAGCCATAGTACTTTAACTTTCATTGGTGTTGATTTGAAAACAGAAAAATAAATAGTTGTAACTCTGGGACAGATACTGTATTTGTATACTGCTTCAAACTAAAGGAGGTAAGTAGCATCAGACTACATGAAATTTTATTCTTGATGTTCTTGTATGCAAAGTGGCATCTTGGTCTTGGTGAACTGAAAATGTTAATGTCACCAGTATACTACACTTGCCGTTCTTTAGCTGTTGTATTGCTGAGATGCTAGAGTACTATGGAAACTAGTAGTTTCCATCTTTTGTGCTGGCTAAAATTGTCTACCAAGTAAGGTGCAAAACCAGCAGTGATTTTTTTTTTTTTTGCATCACAAATATTTGGCCTAGAAAAATGCCATTATATACTGCTTAGTTACAAGTTATTAATATAAATAAGTATTAAAGTAGACATTAAATTCAAGGAAGGTTGTTTTTTTTTTTAAAATCGGCTTTTTTCTTGTGTTGTCAGTTAAATTTATCTATTATTTTATATAGTTTTATAAAACAATTCCACAAATAAAGAATACTTGTTTTTAGTTTTCCTATTTGCACTTTAGAAGATTAGATACCATGCTGGCATCTAAAAAGCTTTCCTTAAAGTTTATATTATTTAATGGAATCTGATGAAGAAGTTGGGGCTTACTTCAAGTACTAAGTAAACTGGATAAGGCTTTTATACTTGTTGAGGGGGAAAGACAAACTTTTCCGGTTGTTTATCAGATTTGTGTGTTGTCTCCCTTTGTAAACAGGTACCTTTTAAAATCTTTTTTGCTATTTTTTGCTAATGTTTTGTAAGAATGGTCACAGAAAGGAATATTGGTCGGGCTCTACCAAAAAACAAGAAAAAAAGAATTCTTATAGTAAATACCAATTCTGTGATTATACAATTAATGCCTTTTTCTTTATTTTAAAAACAGCCACTTAGATTCTAATAGATTTTAGTGAAGTATTTTAATATCAAAACATCAGAACAGTCTCATTTCATTCAGCTGGTTGCTGAATGTTAATTTACATGGGGTGTAGGGGCAGACAGTCAAGTGGATTCTCTTCAGGTTAAGTTAAATAAGCATTCGATGTGGAAAGACCTAGTGGCTAGAATAGAATTACATTAGGCTACGAGTTAAATTACCGTGCTTTTGCTTCCTTCATTAAGATAAGTAGTAGAGTATTTCTACTTTTCTTCATGCCTCTCTTGTATTTGAAAAAGAATAATTTTCTTAAGGTTTTTAGCATGATGGAAGCAAATTACATTTTTATTTTAACTTTTCACCAACATTTGTAGATATTTAACTGTGCTGAGTTGTATATTTTAAAGGCAAGAAAAAGCCTTCAGATTTTTATTTGTCAGAGCATATTTGTTGAAACATGATTTTGTTTATGCTTGCAGTGGGGAAAATTTAACATTGAATAAGTGCCTGGTTTATGCTAAATGTTTGTTTTATGTACGTAGTAATTTAAAATGGTCTCGGGATTTTCTTCAAAGTTTAAACGAAGATAGTGGTATTAAAAGCTAAAGGAGCGGTGTTTAGGTAATATGTCTTAGTAGTTTTGTCGCAAGGAAATATTTTGAGATTAAAACTTTGAAGTGCTAGTGCTTGTTTTTGACCAAGTGGTAAACATCACTAAATTAAAACTGAGTAGCATGATCTGAATTACTGTTTAATGTCTTTTGAAAATGACATTTCTAAATATTCATGGCTTATTAATCAAATGCTGTTTATAATTCATTTGTTTCTCGATGTTTATTCCAAGAGCTGTCATTTGAGAAATGTAAAATGCTATACAGAATGCTTAAAATAAGAGAATTCTGAACATTAGGGGTGGTTTCCAGCAGATACCTCTTGGATGTTGGACTTGAATTGCTATAATTTTGATGAAATGATGCTCACAATAGAATGCAGTGAATCCTGCTGTTAATGCACAGTTGCCTTCTAAAAACCAGAATGCTCGGCAAAATTGTACAATAAAGAGGCCTTAGGATATATGGGGAAAACTGGGTTAGAGGCTCAGCAACCCAAAACTTCAACAGTGACATACCCAAGAATAAAGATAAGAATCTAATAAGAGCAGCACAGTTTGACACATGTTAAATGGTTAATAAATATGGCACTTTACCTTGGAAAAGACCTGAAGTGTGCCTGTAGAAGTGGGCATAGGAAGGGTTGCAGCTCATGAATTAAGGTGAAGCTGTGGAAGGAGAGTCAGCTGGAATCAGAGGGTGAGTTCTAATCCCAGGACTGGGTAAGTGTGACTCAGTACTTGCAGTGAACGGAGGCTGCTCACTCGTGTTCTGTGTGTTCCGATGCTGGGTGTGGTTTTCCACATTTCACCTAGCGTTGCTCCTGGATGAGACCATGCGTAAGCAAATTGTGAAATTTGCGTTCTGCTCATATTCCTTGTAGTTCTGCTCATATTCATTATTAATTTCCTGGAACAAGTTTGTGTTTTCCAAACAAATGTGATATCAATATTGACTTTAAAAGACACTTTGTGGTGGAGAATGAGTGGCTATTTACCATTTATTTCTACCCAGAAAAATACTCTTTGTACTTCTAAATGAATAAGAATTGTGGACAACCTCTAAGGTACAAAACTCTTTCTTCCCCCTTACCAGATCAGAAATGATCCCCACTGAACATGTAAACACATTTAGATTCAAATAATTATTTTATGTGTTTTGCTTAAAATGCTTAAAATCTGTGGGAAATTAAATGCCCTGTAAACCCGGTAAGAAAACACAAAACACATAAAGCCTGTGAGAAATTATATGCCCTACAATCCTGCCTCTCCCAAAAAAACAGGGAAAGAAAAGAAAATTAAGGATAAACATCACTTTTTGAGATAAGTGGTCACAGCCATTATGTCCTTAATTTATTTTTGTTTATTAACTGTTGATGGTTTGGTCTTCATTTGCTTAAGTGTTTACACTATTTTTAAGATACACTAACTGCCTTCTTAAGTTTTACATTTCATAGCACTAAATATGTCAGGCATTTATTTAAATATTTAAGTACCTTTAGAAATCAGAAAACTTGAATCCAGGACTTTTTACAAGTTCATTTTGATATCAACATGTAAACTTACTGAAAAATGAACAATAAGGAAACAGCAATGAGCCCACTCTAGTGTTAAAATTTAATTGTTACACTATGTTAGAAGATCTTTTGCACAAGTCTTCCCTCATTTACGTGTTCCACAAGCTCATTTGTAACATAGTAAGTTCTAGGAAACATTTTAGAACAATGCTGAATTTGGTGACTGGGATGCCGGGCTGGGGTCCAAACCCCATTTAATCTATGATATAACCAGAATGTAGCGTAGTGTTACTGGTATGTCTGGCTCATACCCCGTGAGTGCTTTGTAGGAAGGCACACCAAGTCCAAGGGAGACTGCCAGGGGCACATCTCCTGGTAGCCATCCGTGGGTTCTGAGGCTCCTCCACCTCCCCAGAAGCGGTGGGGCTTCTCATCGCTACCCTCAGAATACCTCGTCTAGGCCAGTATGCTGTCATCCTTTTTTGGGAGTCCCAGAGATAAATCTACCTGCCTTCTTTCCACTTTGACAGCTTTACCTGATCCATGGAAAGACTAAAGACAATTTCTCAGCTCCTCCTGTTCTCTCCCTGAAGCAACTCTTTGTGGTTTTCCAGTGGATTGAAGGCTGAACTGTAACGGATAGAGGCCCTAGGCAGGCTGATTTGATACCTGTTTATCATGATAATCCTTAAATTTGTTTTTTTTTTTTTTTTTTTCTGAGAGGCTACACCTTGTATATCCACCTGAGGAATCCGAAGCCCAACACCCATCCTTAGAGGCAGCTGAGCAACCAGTTACTGGAGCAGGGCCCTTGGTGGGGAGGGGGACAGGGGAAAGGAAGGTGGTCATTTTCCTCGCCTCTAAATGCCTCATTAAACAATCTTTTCATTGTAATGCTCTCCCAGGGTTTCAAAGTCAACGTTCATTTCATTATGATTTCCATTTCCTTATGATTCCATCAGTTTTATGGCATGTTTTATCTTAATTCTGCTGTAGGAAGCACCAAGGTAAACTAGGTAAACGTTTGCCCTGTCTTGCTTTTCATTCTTAACTGGGGGAAGATGCAAATATAGAAAAGAATGAGTATAACTAATCAGGAAAATATATTCTGTTTTCTTCTGGACATTTATGAGTTGGGAAAGATCCTGATGAGAAAAGAGATCTTCTGCTTTCCTGCTTCCCTGTCAAACTGTCCCTTGAGTGAAATAGGAAGCAAGGATAGGTGGGATGGCATGGGGCAGGCTGGGGAAGAGGAACGCCCACTGCCCAGGAGAGGCCTTGGTCCTGGGGGATTCTCCCTGTGTGTGGTCATTTCTTAAAGACTGCAGTGCTGTAGCTCCCCAAAACTTTCAGGAAATAAGATCACTCTGTGTGATTCAAATTGACAAAATAGTAGAGAAGGAACCAAAGTAGGAGATGGGTACCTTAAAGCTGAGGTTAAACTCTGCTGGCTTAGCCAGATCAGTCTGACATGTTTTATTTGGCCTGCAGAGAGTTAAAAAATGTTTTTTGAATAGATGATATTTTATGTCTACGTGATTTCCCACCAAAAATACAGACTTTTGGCTCCTTGAAAAATCCCAGATCTAGGCCGGGCGCGGTGGCTCACGCCTGTAATCCCAGCACTTTAGGAGGCCTAGGTGGGCAGATCACGAGGTCAGGAGATCGAGACCATCCTGGCAAACACGGTGAAACCCCCTCTCTACTAAAACTACAAAAAATTAGCCGGGCATGGTGACTGGCACCTGTAGTCACAGCTACTCGGGAGGCTGAGGCAGGAGAATGGCATGAACCCGGGGGGCGGAGCTTGCAGTGAGCCGAGATAGCGCCACTGCACTCCAGCCTGGGCGACAGAGTGAGACTGTCTCAAAAAAAAGAAAAGAAAAGAAAAGAAAAATCCCAGATCTAACAACGTGAGGCCTGTGTTCCCACAACTATCCATGCTGTCTCCAGTTTGCTACTGAGCCCTCCCAACTGTTGGGGAGAATCAGAGATGGACTCTTATTGAAGCAGTAAAGAGACATTTATTATTATTTTTTTGAGATGGAGTTTCGCTCTTGTTGCCCAGGCTGGAGTGCAATGGCACCATCTCGGCTCACTGCAACTTCTGCCTCCCGGGTTCAAGCGATTCTCCTGCCTGAGCCTCCTGAGTAGCTGGGATTACAGGCATGTGCCACCACGTCCAGCTAATTTTGTATTTTTACTAGAGGTGGGGTTTCTCCATGTTCGACAGGCTGGCCTCAAACTCCCAACCTCAGGTGATCCGCCTGCCTCAGCCTCCCAAAGTGTTGGGATTACAGGCGTGGGCCACTACGCCCGGCCTGAGAGATTTTATACAGAAACTATTGCAATAGGGAAAAGAGACTTGCGTCCAGAACTGGGCTCAGTGGAATACAGTAAAGACAGATGGGGACTTACAGCCAAGGGTGGAGGGGAGTAGTTCATGGTTGGAAAATCACTAAGAGGAGACCTCGGGGATAGAGAGGATTCTTGCTAAGAGCAGGCCAGGGTGATCAGATAGCCAGGGTGGAGGACGAGGGATTTGATGAGATCTCAAGGCAGGAGGGCTTCTCTCTAAACTGACCTAGCAGGATTCTTGCTAAAACTGGGCTGTGCAGGCCTGGCAAGGACGGTGGCCAAGATCGAAGCCTGAGAAGAGGTTTAGGAGGTCAAGGAGATCATCTTGTCACCACTCTTTTGCCTGACCCAGGGGATATTTGAAGCATTGCCTCCTGCTTTAAAGAGAGGGTGGATCTAAGACCTCACTGTTCATTTGGACTGTTGAGCACTTGGAATGGGCTGGTGCAATTGAGGGACTGAATTTTAAATCTGATTTCATTTGAATTAATTTAAACTTAAAAACCAGCAGTGTAAGCTATTTCATAAGCTGTTTTGGTGGGACTATATTTCATGGTAACCATTGCATCCATAGAATAGTATGGTAGTGTATGTATTTTTCACTGTTTTTTAATATGGGTGCTAGAAAATTTAACATTCCACACATGGTTGATGTTCTGTTTCTCCTGGACAGTACTGGACTGTGGCTTCTAGGACCTGGTCATGATTCTAAAGAATGTGTCTGTGGCAGACAGACTCTGGAGTGTGTCCCCATGAGCCCTTCCTTGTGACGTTCAGACCCTTATTTAATTCCCTTTCTTTGAGTATGGGCAGGACATGTGTCTTGCTGAAAACCAATAGACTATGGCAAATGCGATGGGCCATCACTCCTTGCTGACATTACGTCATGCTTTTGCCGGCAGGCTGAGCTTGGAAGCAGACCCTTCCCAAGACGAGCCTCCAGAGGAGAACCCAGCCCTGGCCAACACTTTGATCGCAGCCTTGAAGAGGACTCAGCTAAGCCCTGTCCAGATTCCTGGCCCACAGAAACTGTGAGATAATCAGTGTAGGTGGTTTTAAGCCACTAAATGTGTAGTAATTTGTTATGCAGCAATAGAAAACACGTGGCCCGGAAGGGTTGGGGCACATGGAGAACTATGGAAATCCAGCAAAAGGACGGTGCAGGATGGGAGGAGGGTGAGGACCGAAAAACTACCCATTAGATACTGTGCTCACCACCCAGGTGATGAAATAATGTACACCAAACCCCTGACACAATTTACTCATGTAACAAAACTGCATATGTACTCCCAAACCTAAAATAGTTGGGAGGAAGGCTGGGCATGGTGGCTCACGCCTGGAATCCCAGCAGTTTGGCAGGCCGAAGCGGGAGGATCACCTGAGGCCAGGAGTTCAAGACCAGCTTGGCCAACATGGTGAAACCCCGACACTACTAAAAATACAAAAATTAGCCGGGTGCAGTGGTGCACACCTGTAATCCCAGCTACTCGGGAGGCTAAGGCAGGAGAATCTCTTGAACTCAGGAGGTGGACGTTGCAGTGAGCCAAGATCACACCACTGTACTCCAGCATGAGTGACAGAGCAAGACTCCATCTCAAAACAAAACAAAAAAATGTTGGGAGGTGATAAAAAGGTAATCTAGCCAAAGGGAAATCTGCTGATGAGAGTGAATCTTAGTTGGTGTCACTTAAGTATCCTGGTCCCGTGAATAAGCTGTTTCTCAGATGCTGACTGATGCGGCTTTGGTGCTGATTAGCTGACTGTCCTTGGTGATGATTACTTTCATCCTACGTTGGTCTGCTTCAGGGAGAGGAAGTTCAGGTCCATCTGATTTTTGAAGGTAGACTCATTGTTTGTGAGAGTTAAGTGGCTGAGTCCAGGCCACTGGGGCATGGTTGAAGTTGGCCTTATCCTACTGCTTGCAGTGTGTTGGTGGTAGTTTTAATTAAATGTGCCATGGAACAGATTGGGCCCCAGCCTCTGTCAGACAGATTAATCATAGTGGCTGACGGATCGGCGTATGCATGGAAAAATTTGCCAAAAACTTAATGATGTAGAAGCGAAAGGTAGAAATGGTTGGGAGATAATCCTCCATAGTTCTTGCACATCTTGCAAGCAGAGAAAATGACAGTGCTTTTTCTAGGCCGTCTTTTCCAGGATATTTGTATGGCACACAACCTTGGGAGATACACATAGCGTCTCCTTCTGGAGCAAGGGACAGGTTTGTTTACATCCTTGGAAGATGGAGTTAGTGTCTCTCTTTAGAGCAAAGCGCAGGCAGGCTGACCGTGATGAAAGACTGAGAGATGGAGCTCAGGGCTCCTGTTTTGTTCTGCAGCTCACTGCCTTTGCCCTTGTCACTTGCCCTTCTTATCTTCCCTGTGCTTGAGGAACTGGCACAGGAAATGATACTCTGGCTCCTGCTAACGCTGTGAGTAGCGTAGTTCTTTGTCTTGGAGCCATGCCTCTGTGCCTTCTGTCAGCATTCCGGGAACTGTGGCCGGCTGACTTTTCAGCTTGCCTTCATAGGTCTTGACAGTTGTGTTGGATAGTAATAATAAAGTCAAAAAGTCGTTTCTTGTGGAACAAAAGTTAATCCACTTATGACTAAACCTTTCCCAGAATAGGGGTGGAAGCCCATGTTTTTTCATTCCCTAGGGTCAGGGGCAGGGATTTTTGTTTTGTCGGATAAAATTATTCCCATTGATTTATAAAATATGTGTATCAACAAGCAGATCTTCCTAGGAGTGAGCTGATCACACCTTTCGCAGCGGCTTACTGAATTCACCTTTTCTAGGCCTCAGTCTTATCTCTAAAATGAGAAAATTGGCTGGCTATGGTGGCTCGTGCCTGTAATCGCAGCACTTTGGGAGGCTGAGGCGGTGGATCGCCTGAGGTCAGGAGTTCAAGACCAGCCTGGCCAATGTGGTGAAACCCTGCCTATACTAAAAAAAAAAAAAAAAAAAAAATACAGAAATTAGCCAGGCATGGTGGTGCGTGCCTATAATCCCAGCTATTCAGGAGGCTGAGGCAGAAGAATTGCTTGAACCTGGGCGGCGAAGGTTGCAGTGAGCCAAGATCATGCCATTGCACTCCAGCCTGGGCAACAAGAGTGAAACTCCATCTCAAAAATAAATAAATAAATAAATATTTAAATAAATAAAATAAAATGAAAAAATTATATCTCTCTTAAAGGCCCTTCCAGCTACAGTGGCTCCAGGTGATGTGAAAAATACCATCCCTTTATTTATTCAACATGCTCTTATCTTGTCCTTACTATGGGACAGGCACCAGTCTAAGTGCTTTTCAAATAACTCATTGAAACTAGGATGATACTAATAACCCCCTGCCATAGGTGAGGAGACTGAGGCACAGAGAGATTAATTATTTGCCCAAGTTCATCCAGCAGGTGGCATAGCTGGGGTACAAACCTAGGCAACCTTTGTGCTTGTGTCCGCCATGGTGTGCTGTCTCCCATCTTGTCACTGAACAATTGATTCAGTCTCTGCTGTGTGGGAAGCCCCTCCTGAGAATGCTGGAGGCCACAGGGGAGAATGAATCAGGTCCTTGTTCTCCAGGGTCTTGCACTAATGGAGAATTTTGTATTTTTCTCTCTCCATGTGTGTGTGCGTGTCCCACAGGAGGACTCCAGATTAAGCATTTGCATGTAAGAATGTCTCATTAGAATGTGGAAGTCTACATTAAGTGTAGGTTAAAGAATTGGTTCCAGGTTTTTAGTTTGCTTATTTAAGATTGTTTAAATAAACCTTAGCGTTCTAACCTGATGGTAGTAAACTAGGTCAGACTTCTGCGGGGAACTATAGAGACATACTTGGTCCAAAGTTCTACCTATTCAATACCTAAGATTAATAAAATTGTGTATAGAAATTTAAGTAGTTATGCTGAATCACATCCCTTAAAAATGGTTTTTGTCAACCCTAATCCCCTTCATGTGTGTAAATTTAAGCTTCTCGCAGAAAATAATGGAATCTTTATTATCTGCTATTACACCAGGAGCAATCATTTTTGCAATATTCACTTTATAAATGTTGAGTGGGTGGCCAGTTCCACTTCACCGTATGCAAGCTGGGTCTCCAGAGCCCTGGAGAATCACACTCAGGAGCTTCAGGGGACAGGCTTTTCTGAAAGAACTACTTACTGAAGGCCAAGGGAACAGACACCCTCAACTGTCACCACCCTGGGCCCAAAGGAGCAAGCGTTCAGCGGCAAGTGTGTACAGTGATTGCTGGGCCTAGGAGGAGGGATGGACTGACAGAGCTGAAACTGGCACAGTGAGTGGGAAAGAGGGACAAGGGAATCAACACCCTCGCTTCTCCTGC